>NC_000003.12:194007573-194158572 GCF_000001405.40 Homo sapiens | reverse complement strand
CTTCATTTATATCAAATATGTGCAAAGGACTAAAGTAGACTCCCAAGTGAAATGAAAATTAAGTTGTTAGACAAACTTAGGGAATGGGAACTCCAGCTGGAACAAACTTATGAGACACTTGTCTTTAAATACTAATTTTTAGAGATGCAAGTGCAAACTTCCTTCAATAATAATCTATGACTCAATTTACTTCCATTCTAATTCAGGAGTTAAATCACACATCCATAAACAGTCAAGAGCAGCTTGTAACATCACTGGCATGTGGACATCCCGTGAATTGTTTATTGATGGCTCTTTTGGAGTAGAGTCTACAAAATTACGTCTTCAGTTACTTAAATTTTTCAAATGAGGGGAAAAAGAAAAACACCAACCTTTCAACCATACTTCAAAGATGGCAGCCAAGGTGCTTTTATGTCATAACTAAAGCCAAAGAGGATCTTAAAGATTCCTAGCCTACATTTTCAATATCCCATAGTGTTTCTTATAATTTGAAGTGATGTCAAAGTTTGCTCAAACACAATTAAGTATGCTTTAGCTTCAATTTTATCTTTCTTCCTTCCCTCCCTTCCTCCCTTCCTTCCTTCTTTTTTTCTCACTCTTGTTGCCCAAGCTGGAGTGCAATGGCTCGTTCTCGGCTCATTGCAACATCTGCCTCCCGAGTTCCAGTGATCCTCCTGCCTCCCGAGTAGCTAGGATTACAGGTGCCTGCCACCAGCCTGGCAAATTTTTGTATTTTTAGTAGAAACAGGGTTTTACCATGTTGGCCAGGCTGATCTTGAACTCCTGACCTCAAGCGATTCACCCGCCTCAGCCTCCCAAAGTGCTGGGATTACAGGTGTGAGCCATCGCGCCCAGCCTAGCTTCAATTTTCATACACACACACGCACCTGTGTGATGACTGATTACTGACATTTTTTGCATCACTTTTGCTAGAAGTTTTCTTGTGGGATGAAAACTACTGAGAAATTAAACAAGTAGGCATCTCATATCCAAATGTTGTGGACCACTGGAATTGCCCTTAAAATAAAAAAAAGAATTACAAAATAAAAATGATCAAATAAGACAAATATGAAACACTTTTTTATAGAGAGGAAAATTGTTATTAGTGGAAATAGAAACAGAAACAGGTCCTAAAAGCTTTCAATGTTTGGCTACAATTGTTCCATGGTGTTTAAGGATATTTTGGGAAATAAGATAACATTACTTCATAAGTCACTGGGGGAAGTGTGATGAAGTGGACCAAGCTGAGACCTGGGTTTTAACTGTGTCACATAAAGGGGGCAGGGGAAAGAAGGTTAAAAGCAGGGTGGAACTGTTTGATGGGGTCTTGGGGGCCTCAGTGTTTGAACTTCAGCAGGGAGTGGGAGCCACAGAAGATTTTGAAGAGGAAATGGGAGAAGGTGGGGTCTCCGCTTTGGCAGAACACACCAGTAACCTGGTGGAGAGAGACTGGAGGAGGTAGACAAAAGGCAAAAAGCCCAATTCAGAGGATTTAGCAATAGCTGATGTACAAAATACTGAAGACACGTGAGCTGAGGTAAAGAGGATGAGATAGATGGGGAAGTACTTATATGGAATTCTCTAAGTTCTTGATGAATGATAATGGCAGATAGGTAGGAGATAAAAGAGGAAATGAAAAACAGCTTTAACCTACCTGGGAGGATAATGATCCTTAAACCCTCCAGTGCTGAGCTGGCCTGTATGGTAGCCACTGACCACAGGTCTCTATTGAGCACCTGAAATGTGGCTAGGGCAACTTTCTGAATTGAGATGTGCTGTAATGATACCATCAAAACCTATGTCAAAGACTTGGTACCAAAAAAAAAGAATGTGAAATATCCTGTTGATAATGTTGTATATGGGTTACATGTCAAAATCATACTATCTGGATATATTGGGTGAAATATAATATATAATTAAAATTAATTCTACCTTTTACTCTCTTTTTTAAAAAATTTAGCTACTAGAATATTTAAAATTGCATCCATGGCTTCATGGCTCACATCTTATTTCTTTCTTTTTTTCTTTCTGAGACGGAGTCTCACTCTGTTGCCCAGGCTGGAAAGCACAGGCACAGTCTCGGCTCACTGCAACCTCCGCCACCCAGGTACATCTTATTTCTTTTAGGCAACGCTGCTCCAGGGGCTTCCCATCGTGCTTAGACTCAAGTCCAAATTCCTTGTGATACCTTCAAGGCCCTGTGTGAACTGACCTTGGCAGCCTTCAAGGCCCTGTGTGAACTGACGTTTGCCAGCCTTTCTGGCCTCAACTTGGAACACATTGTCTGGTCGCTGTGTTTCAGGCACATGCCCTTTCAGTCCCTCTGGCACTCTGAGTTCCTGCCTGCCTCAGGGATTTGCCTGTGCCGTGCCCTCTGCCTGTAATATTCTCACCCTAGATCTTTACCTGGTTGGCTTTTTCCACCATTCGCATATCATCCAACTCAGATGTCGTTTGTTCAAGAGGACTACCTTGACCAACTTTCTTTCTTCCTTCCCTTCCCTTCCTTTTTCTTTTTCCTTTCTTTCTTTCTCCTTCCTTCCTTCTTTTCTTCCTTCCTTCCTCTGCTTCCCTACCCCCCTCCCCTCTCCCCTCCCCTCCCGTCCCCTCCCATCCCCTCACCTCCTCGTCCCTCACCTTTTCTGTTCTTTTCTTTCCTTTGGTCTCGCTCTATTACCCAGGCTGGAGTAGAGCTCACTGCAGCCTCAAACTCCTGAGCCCAAGAGGATCGCTGCTACTGTTATATCCAAAATGTTTACGTTTTTAAAAATGAGTCTTTGACAACAGCTTGGAGAACATATTTCCAAGGTGTGGTGGCTCACACCTGTAATCCCAGCACTTTGGGAGGCTGAGGCTGGTGCATCACTTGAGGTCAGGAGTTTAAGACCAGCCTGGTCAACATGGTGAAACCCCTGTCTCTACTAAAAATACAAAAATTAGCCAGGCATGGTGGCGGGCGCCTGTAATCCCACCTACGTGGGAGGCTGAGGCAGGAGAATCACTGGAACCCAGGCGATCCTCCTGTCTCAGCCTCCCTAGTAGCTGGGACTACAGGCATGAACCACCATGATCAGCGTTGACTATTGTTTCTAACCAGCTCTATCTTCTTGTCCCTGCCCTCCACTGCCCCCCAAACTCTATTCCATTGCTTTATTTTATTTTCCTCAGAACACTTTATCTGTATAAAAATTATCCTGTTAACTTTTTGGTTTAATGGTTTATTGTCTATCTCCTCCTGATGACAATTTAAGCTCCAAGAAAGTGAGGACCTGGTCTATCTTACTCTCTTTTGTATCACCAGCCTAGCACAGTGCCTGGCACATAGTAGGTATACAGCAAGTATTTGAAGAATGAACGGATTGAGAAATACAGAAATATTGAGAAGTGAAGGGTTAGAGAAATGTCTTGATTATTAATTGCTGTGTGACAAAGCATTCCAAAACTTAGTGGCTTGAGAACAAAAACCAGCTAGCTCCATGCTCTGCCTGGACCCGGGAAACCTAAACCATATCCTACAGCCTATAGTAACATGACTTTGTGCTGTTTCTCTGTCTTCATTAGTATGACTTGATTTTTCCAGATGTCTCCTGGCCAGGTAAGTGGTTTGATTGTTCATTAAAGAAACTTTCCATCAACCATTCCATGGAAAACATCCACAGACAATTTGTGCCCTAAGATTCTGTGACTCCTTCATCTTGAAATCCTTACTTTGCTGTTTCCACCAATTTTGGAGTGTTGCATAGTGATTCTTGCCCGGTCCTGATCAAGTCCCCATAATGAAGGACTGCCTTAAACCAAGCTCCCAATTATCAGTGCATTCTGACCTTCCTTTCCCCATTGGAAGCACTGCCAAAGCTTTGCCAGGTGGCGTTCTCCCTTACCGCAATAAGCAATGAGATCAGCTTTGTCTCACCGATAGGTTGTGTTGGTGATAGTCGGGAGCCAGCTTTGGTAGGCTTAAAACAACAACATTGTATTATCTTTCATCATGCTGAGGGCTGAGTGGGCTCAGCTGGGCGACTCTTCTGCTCCACATGGCATTGGCTGTGCTGTAGTCATCCTGGGACTCCACCAGCTGCAACACCAAAGATGGCTTCCTCATGTCTGGTGCCTTGGCAGTGATGGCCGGCAGGCTGGGCTCAGCCATGATGCTGGGATCAGCCATGATGCTGGGATGGCCAGGCCTCTCTCTCTCCATGTGGCTGCTCCACATGGTCTATCCAGAAGTGTAGCTGACTTCTTAGATGGTGGCTCAGGGCTCTCCAATGTGCAAAAGCAAAATCTCCCAGGTCTTCCTAAAGCTTATACCTGGAACTGGCCCAGTATGACTTCTGCACCTTCTATTCATTAAAGCAGTCACAGGGCCAGGCCAGAATCGAGGGGAGGAGAAAAACTCCACCTCTTGACTGGGAGTGTGACAACAAATTTGCCTCCCACCTTAATCCACCAGAGAGCTGAGTTCAGAGACTGAAATAGTTGTCAGTCATCAAGTTCAGGGAAGAGAATGGAACCAGAGCTCAGGCAGGGCGGAGAAGGAGGAGAGCCTTTTCCTCAGCCCTCAACTGGAAGCCCTGGGCTGTCTCAAAACCTGAGGCCTGAGCAAAAAAGCCAAACAATAAGTTATGAGCAGCCACAACAAGCCAGGCAGACCCTGGGATGATCCTAGTAGAGAAACCCAGAGTAAAGCGGCGCGAATTGTCTCCGTGTGACAGTCTAGCCATGAGAGACCCAACAACAATACTCAGGACTTAGGAAGAGGGTAATTACGTGCTGGGCTGAACCGCACCGACTAGCAGTATGACTGGCATTCAGAAGAGGAAAGCATGTTCTCCAAGCTGTTGTCAAAGACTCATTTTAAAAAATGTAAACATTTTGGATATAAAAGTAGCATAAGTACTTCACGGAGTTGTTTGGAAAATGAAGAAAAGGGAAAAAAATCACCCATATTCTCTTTCCCTAACACAGCCAGGTATTCCCTCCCAGTCTTATCTGTGAGTGGGTCCTGTGAGGGGACTTGGGAAGCCGCTAAGAAGCCATGGCTTTGTGGGGCTGATCTGTGCTGAGGGTAGGAGAGATGGCTTCCCAGTCCTCTGCAAAGGGATCCAGTTAGAGAGAAACAGTCTGGGTCAGGGCATTTCTTGGGTGTCCTGTTGCTCTTCAGCCCGGACGCCTGGCACTCGGAGGTAGATAAGTGCAGTGTGAATGGTCTCCCAGTAGTTCCTCGGAGGGAGGTCTGGGTGGAGCCCTGGTGAGGCAAGTAGGTACACGGGGATCTGAGGAGGTGCCAGGATGTGGGAAAAGGAGGCAGGGAGGTGAGAAAGAAGAAAAGAAGAGGCAGGGTGCAGTGGCTCACACCTGTAATCCCAGCACTTTGGAAGGCCGAGGCGGGCAGATCATGAGGTCAGGAGTTCGAGACCAGCCTGACCAACATGGTGAAACCCTGTCTCTACTAAAATTACAAAAATTAGCTGGGTGTGGTGGCACGCACCTGTAATCCCAGCTACTCAGGAGGCTGAGGCAGGAGAATTGCTTGAACCCCGGAAGCGGAGGCTGCAGTGAGCTGAGCCCAGAGGCAGAGGTTGCAGTGAGCTGAGATCATGTCACTGCACTCCAGCCTGGTGACAGAGTGAGACTCCATCTCAAAAAAAAAAAAAAAAGAAAAGAAAAGAAAAGAAAAGATTGCATTGCGGTGAGAGTGGCGGCAGCGTGCTCAGTACAGTTGTCTATCTGCCTACTTGGTTAACAGAACTTTATTGAGCCCTTACTGTGCGGCAGGCCTTGTGGCAGGTCCTGAGGTTGCAGTGTGACCCTGAAGGACAGCTCATAGGCCCATGTGATGAGGGGTCTTATTGGGCAATGTTGACTGCAGCACAGCACATAGTGAGGGCACAGCAGAAGGAAATTCACGGAGAGGAGGCTCACGCAAGGTTTCAGAGGCAGCCATCTAATTTGAGACCTGAAAGCTAAGTATTAGCCAAATGGACTGGTGAGGATGGCCTGGGGACATAGGGAGATTTTCTAGGTGGAAGTAACAGAAAATACAAAGCTGAGAGATTTGAAAAAAAGAAAGAAAGGAAGGAAGGAAGGAGGGAGGGAGGGAGGGAAAGAAAGAAAGAAAAGAAAGAAAGAAAGAAGAAAGAAAAAGAAAGAAAGAAAGAAAAGAAAGAAAGAAAGAAAAGAAAGAAAGAAAAGAAAGAAAGAAGAAAGAGAGAGAGAGAAAGAAAGAAAAGAAAGAAAGAAGAAAAGAAAGAAAGAAAGAAAGAAAAAGAAAGAAAGAAAGAAAGAAAGAAAGAAAGAAAGAAAGAAAGAAAGAAAGAATCCCAGATGAGAAGTCTGGAGTCCAGGGTTCTAGTTCTGGCTTGCCCCTTGCTAGTTCTGGGTGGGGTCTGGGGATGACTGCTTTCAGCACTTTTTTCCTCCTATGTGGCTTAGATAATGTGTTCCCTGCTAGACTGTGATGTCCTTGAAGGCCTTTCGAATTTTGTTTATTTCTGTATCCCCTGTGGTTCCCTGCCCACCATGTGCACAAGGCAAGAACTCAGAGGATGTCTATGGAATGAACACGTGGATGCAAAGCCAACCAGGGCCATAACCATTTCTTCATGTGGCAAACAAAGAGATTAAGTTCGCTGTCTCTGAATTCGCTTTCACTTCAAATATTTAAAGTGCTTTGCGGATTGCAGAGAGGTGTTTTTTTTTTTTTTTTTTTGGACAGAGTCTTGCTCTGTCACCCAGGCTGGAGTGCAGTGGCACGATCTCCGCTCACTGCAAGCTCTGCCTCCCAGATTCACACCATTCTCCTGCCTCAGCCTCCCGAGTAACTGGGACTACAGGCTCCTGCCACAACGCCTGGCTGATTTTTTGTATTTTTTTTAGCAGAGACTGGGTTTCACCATGTTAGCCAGGATGGTCTCGATCTCCTGACCTCGTGATCCGCCCGCCTCGGCCTCCCAAAGTGCTGGGATTATGGGTGTGAGCCACCGTGCCCGGCCTGCAGACTGTAGACAGGTTTTTAGTAGTTGTGTGATCATAAAAACAGCAGCAAATGACCTTGCTCCAAGTTGTGGTCCTGAGCACTAGCCATTTATGAACATTGCCCAGGCTGGCCGGAGGTGACATTTTCCACCATCATCAACTAGTTCTTCAAAATCAGGTTGGGCATTTTGTTAGACTCGCTGTGTTTTACTGGCTTTCCTGGCTTCAGGAGTTACCTCCTCAGTAAGCCTTTCCTTCTCTGTCCATTCTCAATTAGACCCCACCCCTGACCCCTTCCACCACAACATCCTATTTTGTTTCTTCACAGTATTTCCCATGAATTTACATTCCCTCCTTTTGTGTGTGTGTGTGTGTGTGTGTGTGTGTGTGTTTTGTTTTTTTTTTTTTTTTGAGACCGGGTCTCACTCTGTTGCCTAGGCTGGAGTGCAGTGGCGCAATCATAGCTCACTGCAGCCTCATTCCTGGGCTCAAGTGACCCTCCTACCTCAGCCTTCTGAGTGGCTGGGACTACAGGTGTGTGCTACTGTGACCAGCTAATTTTTTTTTTTTTAAGAGATAGTGTCTCACTCTGTTGCCCAGGCTGATCTTGAACTCCTAGCCTTAAGCAATCCTCCTGCCTCAGCCTCCCAAAGTGCTGGGATTATAGGCATGAACCACTGCACCTGGCCCATCCTCTCCTTTATTTATTTGTTTTCTTCCCAATGGTGGAATGTGAACTTCTTGAGAGCCAGCGCTTTGCCTGTCTTGTTTGTTGTTGAAACTCTGGCACCTGGAATGGTGCCTGGAACAGAGCAGAAGCTGCATTAATCCCCTGCATGAATGACTAGTCAGCCCCACTGGGAAGTGTTTTGTGGGCCAGTGGCCCACAGCAGCACAGGGCACACTTCTCGTCAGGCACCGCATCCTGGCTGCAGGTGACCTGAAGAAGGTGTAAACCCCTCAGGTAATATGTATTTTGCTGTATCGCAAAACTGGAATGCAAAACACCAGGAGTCACAGATAGGCAGAAAAAGCCAAAAAAATTTTATCTGGAAAGTCAGCAACTGCTTTGTGGGTGGAGAACACTTTGCTTACAGAGATTGTATTGATCTTGTGACAAACAGCCACACTGTGTTTTGGCTTTCCTGGTGTGCCTTCAGTCCCAGCCGGTGATTTGGACTTCGCTTGTTACACCCTTATATGCTTTTAGTTACGGGTTTCTCTGGGTCACATTATGACTCATTCACCTATAACAGACAAGTCTTTTTCAAACCAGGCTCACAATACGATCTTCAAAATTGGATACTTTTCTTCCTCCTGAAAGTTTAGGATTTATTTTCCCATTCTCTGCACAGAATTTTTGATTCTGAAAAATACCTGGCAATTCATTTTTGCTGAGGAGTATTAATCTTTATGTTTAAAAAGAATTTGATTGGCAGGGCGTGGTGGCTCACGCTTGTAATCCTAGCACTGTGGGAGGCCCAGGCAGGCAGACCACCTGAGGTCGGGAGTTGGAGACCAGCCTGACCAACACGGCGAAACCCTGTCTCTACTAAAAATACAAAATTAGCCAGGCATGGTGGTGCATGCCTGTTATCCCAGCTACTCAGGAGGCTGAGGCAGGAGAATCGCTGGAACCCGGGAGGTGGAGGTTGCAGGTGGCCGAGATTGCACCATTGCACTCCGGCCTGGGTGACAAGAGCAAAACTCCGTCTCAAAAAAAAAAAAGAAAAGAAAAAAAAATTTGATTACATTAATTCTGTACCATTTGAGAGACAGGAGAATGTTACCTGCAGCCCCCACTCCTTAAGAGACTTTAGTTATACATGTTTTACACCAGCAAAGCAGGGAAGAGTACAGATTTCCAGCAAATTGGTTCTGGTTACATGTGTAGCAAAAATGCATGAATCACAGAGATCAAAACTAGGTTTATTTCCTCTGGCAGGTGGCAGGAAAGGGATGCTCGTGCAGCCATAGAGACTAGCTTAAGTATGGCGCTCATGGCCAGAAGATGCGCGTTCCAGAGACTCCACCTCTGTCACCTCCTAGCTGTCACCTTGGCCAGTTCACCTGCACTTTGCGAGCCTAAATATCCACATTTGATATAAGGATAACAACACCAGCCGTACTTACCTGTCTGGATTGCTTTCAGGATCAAACGAAATGGTGTTTGTGGAAGCATTTTGTGAACCTCCAAGTATCAACCGTTCTTACTACACTGGTAGTATACAGCTTCCTGAATGATTTCTGTATGCCAGCCACTGTGCCAGGTGCCGGGGGTACAGAAAAATACATCATTTTTGCCTCTAAAACATGCATAGCCTAAGCTGCGGAGACAGATAAACCAACACTACAGTCCAATGTCAGCAGCGCTGTGTTAAATGTCCCAGGGAGGCCGGGCACGGTGGCTCACGCCTGTAATCCCAGCACTTTGGGAGGCCGAGGACGGCAGATCACCTAAGGCCAGGAATTTGAGAATTTGAGACCAGGCTGGCCAGCATGTTGAAATCCTGTCTCTACTCAAAATAATAATAATAATAATAATAATAATAATAATAATAATAATACAAAAATTAGCCAGGCATGGTGGTGCATGTCTGTAATCTCAGCTATTCAGGAGGCTGAGGCAGGAGAGTCTGGGTGACAGAGCAAGACTCCATCTCAAAAAACAAACAAACAAACAAACATGTCCCAGGGAGAGGGCGGGAGGGGTGGGGAAGGGTCAGAGCAGGGGACTGGGCAGGGTGGGCTTCCCAAAGCAGACCCAGCCAAGTCTCGAAGGACTTGTGAAGTAGGAGGTGTCTGGGTAGAGATGCGGGGGAGGGAAACTTCCAGCATAGGCACAAAGACTGCAAAGCGACAGAAACCAGAGAGCGTGGCAGGCTTGGGCACTGAGGCAGCTTTGTGCATGGGTAGAAGGAGGTGGGGGATGAGGCCTGCTTGCAGGGAATGAGGCAGCTGAGTAGGCCGGGAGCAAAGCATGCCAGTTTCTGCAGTCGTGAAGGCAGCAGGAAGCCCTGGGTCATCTTCTAACAGAGACAGGGTTGTTTGGACTGGATCATGGCCAGCGGATTGCAGGGAGGCAGGACCAGAGTTGAGGAGATCAGTCTCGGGAAGATGAAAGTAAAAAGCTTGAAATTTCTGTACCAAGGCAATGAAATGGGGTTGAGATTCATAAGACAGATGCAGGGATGAGATACAGGGTGAGTGTGAACAAGACGCACTGAGCCTAGGAAAATAAGGGTAGGGGCATTCTGTAGGGATGACAGCCGGGCTCATGGAATCGAGTTTGAGACATGCTGACTTCCATGTATGTGGAGATGTCCTGTGCGCAGCTGAGTCCATGGCTTGAGAGCTCAGGAAAGAATTACGGGTTGAAAATGCCAGATTGGGTAGTCTCCTCTGGGCATGTAGATGCTCATCACTACTATGGGTGGCCGAGTGACAAGAGAACAAAGTTACTGGTAGAAGGTAAAAGGAGACAATCCCATAGGGGTACTGAGAAATTACCAGAAAGGTTGGAAGAACTCAGAAGAAAGAGATGCTTCAGGGGGTTAGGAAGGAGGGAATTTCAAGGATGGAGTTTGAACATGGTCAACACTTTACAAATGTTGTAATGCTGACAGAGGAAAGGACAGAAAAATGACCATTTGGTTTGTTCCCTGAGTCGTCCAGGCTAGAGCCTGTCG
Organism: Homo sapiens; assembly: GCF_000001405.40. NCBI lineage: Eukaryota > Metazoa > Chordata > Mammalia > Primates > Hominidae > Homo > Homo sapiens. Next base: position 194,147,908 of record NC_000003.12, on the reverse strand, counting down.
GCAGAGTGCAGGGCCCCGAGCGAGGCTGGCTGCAAGCGTGGGGAGGAGAGGGTCGTCAGGCAGTGTGGGCCATGAGCAAAATCCAGGCATTCTCTGTGAGATGGGAAGAGAGAGGCCGCAGGGTGGTTCTTAAGGATTGTAAAGAAATAAATGTGCTCATATGCTGAGGGGGAAAAGTCAAAAAAGTAAGGGAGGTTGGAGATTTAGGCATAGCACATGCTTTGTGGGCCACATCCTTGATGAAGAGAACGAGGATAGCATCTGGAGCACAGACCCTGAGAAAGGAGGAAGGGTTGGAGCCGGGGGGAGGCAAGCTTAAGCGGAGAAGTCAGGAGAGGACCAGGAATCGAAAGAGTGAGAGTGCTGGATGGCACCAAGGACAGATTTTATCTCAGGAAGCAGGAGCAATGGCTTGGCAAGGGTATAGGGAAGCAGAGAATGCCCAGCAGAAGCACACTCGCTACCCCATGGTACACATGCTCCCTGGCCACCCGCACTCAGCGTCATCATCCACCCGCCAGGCTCAAAAGAAAAGCAAACCGGGAAATGAGGGGTTCACAGAGGGGCTGCATGTAGAGGGGTGTTTATTTAAAATGGAACAAGTATCCAGAGAGAGCAGGGACATGCTGATGGGCTCCCCTCAGAGGAGAGCAAGTACTGAGCTGAGACCTGGACCCTGCCTAGAGGTTGTATGCCAAGCATGGAAACTGGGCTTTATAAAAATTAAGTTGAATTCAGCCCGTCTTCTGGCTAGAAACTGATGGCTATATATTAAGACAATTGATTGCTTGAAATCAAACTTCTAATTTTAGGAGTTTACACTTCTAAACCAGTACAGATGTGTAAATGTGATGACAGCTTCGGTCTTTGATACAGGAACCGTGCGAATAGTTGAGGCAAGAACAACATTTGACGTTATCCTTTTTGAACTGCTCCTGGCCTTAAACTGTCCCAAAATGTCTCTTCTTTGGATGGAATCTCCTTGTTCTGCACTCAAAATGAAACCTGAAAGAGACTACGAAACACACTCAAGCAACTCCAGAGCTCTTGAGACAATTACGTGATTGTGCTCTGCCTTCAACCTGGGCCTCCCCGGCTGCAAAACAAGGAAACAAAACCAAAAATCACACAAAAAAGTCTTTATTTTCATCATTTTTTTTGAAGGCTTCTTCTCACCTGAACGGTATGAATGGCCAATTCCACAGTTACTTAATAAAGTCATAATCATAATTATTAATAATGTAAGGCCGGGCACGGTGCCTCACATCTATAATCCCAGCAGTTTGGGAGGCTGAGGCGGGCAGATCACCTGAGGTTGAAAGTTCAAGACCAGCCTGACCAACATGGCAGAACTCCATCTCTACTAAAAATACAAAATTAGCCGGGCAGGGTGGCGCATGCCTGTAATCCCAGCTACTCAGGAGGCTGAGGCAGGAGAATTGCTTGAACCCAGGAGGTGGAGGTTACAGTGAGCTGAGATCGCGCCATTGCACGCCAGCCTGGGTAACAAGAGCGAAACTCCATCTCAAGATAATAATAATAATAATGTAGAGTCTTAGGATAAATATCTATCTGATCCTTCAAGATTCTATTTGTATGAATATAATCAAACGGTCTTAATTATGAAACAGAACATGGGAAAGAATAACTTGTGCCTCGAAAGCGTTTGTTCTTTACAAATCTGGGGTGTCAGAAGCCTCATTCAAGTTTTCTATCCCATCCCCACCCCAGATGTGTATTGGGGATTCACTAAAATGAAAAAGTGCACTTTTACACTTACCTGTGAGAATGGGGAAAGAATTAAGTGAAAAACTTACACCAGATGTTTCCTTGTATTATCCCAGGAAACAATTCTGGTGGCTGTTAATGCATCTTAAATGTCACTTATGGCAGTTGCTCTGAAACAGATTTGACACACTGCAGTTTTTTTTTTTTTAAGAGAAAGGGTCTTGCTATGTTGCCCAGGCTAGAGTGCAGTGGCTGTTCACAGGTGCCATCCCACCACTAATCAGCACAGGAGTTTTGACCTGTTCTGCTTCCAATCTGGGCCAGTTTGCCCCTCCTTAGGCAACTTGGTGGTCCCGTGCTCCCAGAAAGTCACTATATTGATGTTGAACTTAGTGTGAACATGTATTGGGCATAGCATCTCATAGCCCAGAACTCCTGGGCTCAAGTCATGCTCCCCCTCGGTCTCTTCAGTGGCTGGGACAAGTGTGTGCCACCTCACCTGGTGACACATTGCATTTGCTCTCTCCTGGTCCTGTTAAGCAATCATATTCTTGTTTTAAATTTTGATGTTTTAGGGACAAATTTTATTTTCATTTATTTATTTATTGAGATGGAGTCTCGCTGTTGCCCAGGCTGGAGTGCAGTGGCGTGATCTCACTGCAACTTCTGCCTCCCGGGTTCAAGCGATTCTCTTGCCTCGGCCTCCCGAGTAGCTGGGCTTACAAGTGCACACCACCATGCCCGGCTAATTTTTTGTATTTTTAGTACAGACGGGGTTTCACCATATTGGCCAAGCTGATCTCCACCTGCTGACCTCGAGTGATCCGCCCACCTCGGCTTCCCAAAGCCCTGGGATTCCAGGTGTGAGCCACTGCGCCTGACCAGAGACAAATTTTATAACCATAAAGCTAGGAGGAAAAGATGATGGTGCAGAAAACATGAAGTATGGGGTAGTGTTTGTCAATTGCAATAGTTTTTCTTTAGGCTGGAGTTTTTTGTAAACTAATTATACATTTCATGTCTCACATTGATGACAAAACTCATAAAGTTAGTTGAACATGAAAACTATCACATTTGTGAAAAACAAAATAAGAAACAAATAGTGTTCCTTAAATAACATGGCTATCATTAAGTTATACTTGGACTTCTAAGAAAAAAATGTATTGATCTCTGCTTGACTAAAGACAAATTAGGATTGGGAACATATCTGAACATAGAAAGAATAGCTGCAGTAAAGGCTTCTTATTAATTTAGATTGCAATTATTTACTTGGGCTGCACTCTGGCCCCTCTGATTATTTTAAGGAAGATTTATAGTACAAATAATATTGCCAGAGCCACATTTAACCTGCTTAATAAGAGAACACATTCTTTAAATGACTTTAATGCATTAGTTTTATGAAAGCTATGAATTCAGACTCACTACAAGTATTTGCAAAGTTACTACTTTTCCTAACAGATATTTAAAACTCAGATTTTCCACTAATTCAGATTGACATTCTTCTTTAGCCAGACTAGTCCAGTTAGCCTATTTAATTCAGTAAATGTACTAGTGGAAAAACTCTAGCTAGTTGGGGAAATATATATATTTTTTTTCTTTATTTTTTCCCCCATAGAGATGTCGGTCTCACTATGTTGCCCAGACTGGTCTTGAACCCCTGGTGCAAGCAATCTTCTGTCTTTGCCTCTGAAAGTGCTGGGATTACAGGTGTGAGCCACTGCACCTGGCCCAGTTGGGGAAGTATATTTCTTAAATAGAGAGAGTCCCGAGAACCAACAGATCACATTCTCTTTTCAGAAAAGAAGTGAGCAAGTGAAAAGGATTGGGGGAAATTTTTTTAGGATGAAGAGAGAAAGTGGTATTTTTAACTCTTGCTGCTCGATATCATAGCAAAGGATAAGGTCTTGGTAGCACATATGTGAGCAAATCCTGGCAGATGCAGTCTGCCTTCGATGTACTTTGCAGTAGCTATGATTCTCACTAACATGGCAGCTCTCCAGGAAACTGATACGTAGGCTATTTTCTGGTGAACTACGATGCCTGTCCTTCAGGTCTCAGTCCCCATATCTTTAACTGCAGATGAAAATACTTGTCTGTCGCCGGGCGCGGTGGCTCACGCCTGTAATCCCAGCACTTTGGGAGGCCAATGTGGGTGGATCATGAGGTCAGGAGATTGAGACCATCCTGGCTAACACGGTGAAACCCTGTCATTACTAAAAATACAAAAAAAAAAAAAAATTAGCCGGGTGCCTGTAGTCCCAGCTCCTCAGGAGGCTGAGGCAGGAGAATGGTGTGAACCCGGAAGGCAGAGCTTGCAGTGAGCCAAGATAGTGCCACTGCACTCCAGCCTGGGCGACAGAGTGAGACTCCGTCTCAAAAAAAAACAAAAAAACAAAAAACTTGTCTGTAACAATCCTGCCAGGGCCTTGGCTGTAAGGTCTGAAATACGCCTGATATACATTGCTAGAGCCACAGAGCATGTGTCAAACTGTAAAGGCACACAGAAGCACACTGAGGACAGGGAATCACAGACTGGAGTTGAAAGCACTTCAGAGGCTTCCTGGCCTAACGTTCTCATTGTGCTGGCACAGAGATCGAAGCCCAGAGACGTAAGGGGACTTGGCCAGCATCTCACAGGTAGCAGTCCAACTGGATCAGGCCTCAGATTTCCTGACTCGCAGTCCAGTTTCTTGACCACATCTAGGTAATTATGCTCATGCAGAAGATGTTAGTATTGTAAAATAATTACCCTTGAAATTAACCATTTGAGAATCACCTTTCTTAGGTGGAATTTGACTAATTATTTACTATGCCAGTAATTTCTATGAATGATCACAAGGATTAATCATATTTGGAGAACCAAAAAAGTTACCTGTTGTGACGTGCAATCTTTTTTTGTACCATCACTGTGCATGACTCTTTCCTTATGGCACTTAACACAGCAATTTGTTGTTGTTCTTGGTTTTTTTTTTTTTTTTTTTTTTTTTTTGAGATGGAGTCTCGCTCTGTCACCCAGGCTGGAGTGCAGTGGCACAATCTTGGCTCACTGCAAGCTCCGCCTCCCAGGTTCACGCCATTCTCCTGCCTTAGCCTCCCCAGCAGCTGGGACTGCAGGCGCATGCCGCCAAGCCCGGCTAATTTTTGTATTTTTAGTAGAAACGGGGTTTCACCATGTTAGCCAAGATGGTCTCGATCTCCTGACCTTGTGATCCACCCGCCTTGGCCTCCCAAAGTGCTGGGATTACAGGCGTGAGCCACCGCGCCCAGCAGTGCTGTTCTTGTGTGGAAGCTGTCTTGTCTACCAGATAGCTTTATAGTTACAGAGACCATGCCTTTCTTCTCCCTTTATTCCCATAGTGCCTGGTTCAATAATTATCAAATGAATGCATGAAATTCAGAAACTAAGGAAGAAGCAGTGGTCCTTTCACCTAGGGCCTGGTGCAATTACAAGCAGATCCTGCCATCGCTGGGCAAAGGCCGGGACTGGCTTTCTTGTCTGGTGAACGTCCCTCACTGTGGTTAAGAATCCGAAGAGCTGACAGCACTATTCTAAATGCTTTAAGTGCATGTACTCATTTCATCTTCTCAACCCTGTGAAGCACTACCCTGACGAGCCCTAAGTTACAAATGAGATACAGAGTTACAAAATTGAGGCAGGGAGTTCAGTAATTTCCCTCGGGCTCAAAACCTAAGCCAAGCCGCCAGGAGCCAGACCACGTGCTTCTAACCCCTGGGCTGTATTGCATTTAAGCCAACCACTGCGGCAGGGCTTATCCCTCTTTTTCTTTTTTTGACCTCTAAGCCAATTTGTATATTTGAAAACTTAGATACCACACCATGGTAAACATACTGACATCTCCCCAGACTGGACGTATATATGTTCATCTCCGCGTTTTCCCTCACCCTTCTGCTTCTAACCCTTCCTGTTGAACTCATCTTTCACCTCTCGGCTTCAAGTGCCAACTCTGAAAAACCTCCCCGGCCTGGTTTCCTCTCATCAGAATTAATCTCTCTGTTCTAGGTGCCCTTTGTTTAAACTTCAGTTTTGGCACTTAGCACATCAAACCTGGGATGAGTCACGAGGGTGTTTGTGGATCTCCCCGGCTACACAGGGAGCTCGGTGCGGCGGAGGCTGGTGGGAATTGGGCCTGCTGAGCACTCAGTAGGCGCTCAGGGTTTTCAGAAATGAGGATTTTTTTTTTAGGCGTCCAGGGTTGCTGTCTGGTGGCAAGGTCTTTTTTGGGACGGCTCTGTGGGCTGGGATGGCCTCACCCCGCCGCTCTGCCCACTCCTGCCCCGGCGTGGCCTGCCGCCTGGCAGGGCTCTGCGGGCCGCGAGGGCCTCTAGTGCCCCGGCCCTGGCCTCGGCCCAGTTTCCCCAGCTACTAAATGCGGCCCGGAGCTACCGGGGGAACTGGAAAAACACTGGCAGGCGGCCCCACCCCCAGGCCCGGCGGGGCCGCGCGGCCGCCTTCCTGCGGCCTAGGCCTGCTGCTTGGGAGGCGCTGGGGCCCGGGGCGGGGGAAGCGGGGGCGGCGGCCTGCCTGTCAGCGGGAGCGGGCGCGGGCTCGTGTGTCAGCGCCGCCCGCCCGCCCGCCCGCCGGGCCTCCCGGCCTCCCGCCGCCGCCGCCGCCGCCGCCCGCTCCCCCCGCGGCCTGGCAGGCTGCCGGCTGCACAGGCGGGGGTTCGCGCCGTTCTCACGACCTCTCAGGTTGCCTGAGCTCATCTGGGAGCTATTCATTTCCTGCCAGAAAGCAGCCGGGCCTGCTAAGCGAACCACCTTGGCCGCAGGGCCGCCAGGGCTGGCCCGGCGTGGCCGCCCTGGCCGGCTCCCGCCCGGGCGGAGGGCCCCGGGCGGCCTCCCTGGAACCCCCGGGCCGCCCCGGCGGGCGCGCGGCGGGGGCAGCCCGTCCGCCCATCTGGTTGCACTTAGGAGCCGGGGAGGAAGCTAGGAGCGGGTTGTTACCGGCCAACGGGTGTGGGAAAAGTTAATTGACTTTAATGACAGGTTTCCCGGGACGGTGGTGACGACGAGGGGGTCCAACGAAACCCCAGGGTCCCCATTCCAGAAACGCGTGGGGTGGGACGGGGCGCGAGGAGGGGCGAGCCTCCGGAGTCGCGCTTCTGCGCTTGGAGAGGGCTCTCGTGTTGACCGAAGAGCACCCCCACCCCCTTCCAGTTCGGCGCCTTTCCCGCTCCGGATGCTGCTGGAGACGGCGGGGGGCCGGGGCCCCGGAAGGGCTCCATTGAGAGGCTAATGCGCGCGGCAGCCGGGGCCCGCGGCCCGCATCCGGACGCAGTTTGGAGTCGTGCCTTATCTCCCCGAGCGATCAGCACTGCTGGGGGCCGGCGAGAGGGGCTGCTGGTGTGCCCGAGGCCGTATAATTAGGCCAGGCCTGAGGGACCCCCAGGGAGGCAACATCATTGAAGTCGTTTTTGAAGTTTCGCCTCTCCCTCAGCTACTTACTCCAGAAACAGCCAAAGTGCAGGAGGGTACAGCGTCTTAGAAATAAGTCCATTCATTTTCCAGACTTGGAAATGACCCAGAGAAGGGAAATGACTTATCCAAGGTGACACAGTGAATTTGGTGGCATAGCTGGGCAGGAACTGGAAAGTGCCCTTTCCGGTTTGGAGCCTAGTGGGGTCTCCACCTTCTCCCCTTACTGTAACAAAGAAAAAATCCTCGTGGAATAGTCTAAACCTAGCTTTCAGGGGGAAAAAAAGTGCTCTTTTCAAATCACCAATTAAAAAAAAGAAAAAAACGTATTTGTGTTTTTCCTTTGATTTAGTCCCCTCCCTAGGAAGATATCTATGTACTTTCGGTGATATTAATACAAATGCACTTTTAAAATTGTTCCCCTTCAACATAGGGACATTGAATTTTCAACTGGTGTTGAGATTTTTTTTTCCTGTGAATTTTAAAGACATCGATGTAAAAGGAATTCCTTGTGTAAAAATAAGACATTGAGGTCTGATTTTTTCTACCAGGACTGTTAAGGGGCTCCTAGTGGACCCAGAGGACAGGCTTACCAAATGAAACACTGGTGCTTGAGTTGGGTGTCTTAATGGACGATTGTTATTTTGTTTGTGTTTCAACAGGAGGGAAAACGTGGAAAAATGATAAGGGTGTGTGTGTGTTTCTTTGGCGGAAGGTGTGTTGGACACCTTTCATGTACACAAAGTAAGGCAGGTAGGAGACAAATTCAAAAAGGTCTCTTTTAAATCTCTCCCTCTGGGGTGGAAGCTGGGTCCGAAGGTATCTTGAGTGGAAAACTGCTGTCTCCCCGATCATTCCTATGATAGAGCCGCTCTCCACACTGGCCTGTGGGAAAGGCCAGAGCAGGGCGGGGGAGAGGTAAAGCTTTTGAAACAAGACAGAAAATCGTTGGCTTTATCTTTGTTAGGAAAGCTTCAAAGATTGATCTCTCCCGCCTCATCCTTCTCCTCCCAGAAGCCGGTCTAAGAAAAGGGGGGTTAGAGGAGGCTGGCGGGAGGGGCCGGGGGGGAGGAGGACTGGCCGGCGGTGGGGGAGGAGGGCGCGCCCGCCAGACCCACAGCGCGGCTGATGTGTCTGGTCTCGCAGGGCTCGTGGTTTTCATTTCCCCAACACCTGGATGCAGTCAAACACCTGGCCAAATCTGACAAAATCTGACAAGCCTTTGTGATGGGATTTGGAAGAAATTCCCTGCAGATCCTGGCACAGTTTAAAGCTGTCCGCTTTGAGTTAGGACTTGTTAAGGAGGGTTATGTGAGCTGAAACCCGAGACAACCCTTTTGCTTCTATCTGGAGCCCACATCTTGCCTGGAAATGGGGCATGACCAAGCGAAGGGGTCGCTTGCTGTTTGTATTAAAAGGGGAAGATGGCCTGTGTGCCTGCCAGCACAGCCCCCACATGCTTTCTCTATTAGAGCCAAGCACAGAAACTTATCAAAAACACATGTCTGGTGTTAATCATCTGGGCTCGGCCTCCACTTGGGAGTCTAACTAACTGTCCCTTGGCAGAAGGAATCTGTTGACCTTTTCAGCTTGCTTTAAGAGGGTGCGGAGAGGAAACTTTTGGGTGCTAGGGAACGTCTTATTTGAACCAAAGGATTGGCTAATTAATGAAGACCCCAAGTCTTGAAGGAGGCGCAGCAGTTGGAAGTGTTTTTGCTTTGGATGCTGGTGAGCTACCCTGAGAGGAGAGCTGCAGGAACCACCCTTAACGTGCAATGGGCAATAGGATTGGATCCATTAGCTTCGTGAATTTAGTCCTGTTCAATCTTCCTCAGGAGGAGCTAGAAGAACAAGGGCTGCAGACTTACCCGACTGCAACTTAAAAACATTTTTTTTGGAAATCCTTTAAGAGACTGACCACAAGTTTATCAGGGAAGCCTTACCAGATGGCTGCTTGTAAAGTAAATGGAATTTAGTCTTTTTAGTTCATGGAGGATTGGTGAAAAGTTTGATGGATTTTTACAAATGTTCTTTTAATAACAAAAGAGTCAATTCCTGAATTACCAATTACATGTAATTCAAATTCCACCAAAAGCCTTTTTACATATTCTGGAAGAATCAGTTCGAAGACATAAAAGCCTTTACTTTTTTCTTTTATTATATTTTCTCAAATAAACTTCCCCAAAGGAAGATATTTTAAGAGCATTTTCAAACATCTTTGGCATCACATAAAAAAGAAATCTCGTGTAAAAAACGAAATGTCATCTGAGCTTTTATAATACAAAGGCGCAATCCAATATGAACATATAAAATATATACAAATATAGTGCATGGTCAGTCACTTAATACAGCTCTCTCTACAAAAAGTAACTTCTTAGAAATTAAAAAAACACAAAGTAACCACTTAATCAAAAAAGTCCTCTTCTCTCCCAGTATTCAAGTTCCTGTTTAGAGTCCGGAGGGAAGAGAGGTGGGTTGGGGAGTTTAGGAGGAGGGGTGGCCTGAGCCCCCTCAGTTCCGCCACGGCCTCCACATGGAGTCCGCCGTAAGCGAGGGGCCGCTGGAAGGTGACACTGCGTTGGGGCCCACGGAGGTGCCGCTGTTGCTGGTGTAGACGGGGATGACAGGGCCGCTGTGCGCGAAGGCCCCGTTGGGAATGAGGAAAGCAAACTGGCCATCGGGAGCCGGTACCACCTGGAAGCCTCCAAACACCTTAGCCGCCTCTCCAGCCTGGCTGCCCAGCTTGCAGGGGGCGCCGCCGGGAGGGGGCGCCGCGCCCCCGGGGATGGGCACGAGTGGCGGCGGCGGCGCGAACGGCGCGTGCTGGGGGCCGCCGGGTCCCGGTGGGGGCGGTGGCGGCGCCTGCAAGGCGGGGTGCGGCTGCCCGGGGTAGGTCATGGCATTGATCTGGGTCATGCAGTTGGCCAGGTGGCCGAGCAGCCGAGTGCGCACCTCGGTATTAACGCCCTCGCACGTGGACAGGAAGCGGGTCACCTCGTTCATGCACTCGCTGAAGCCGGCTCGGTACTTCCCCAGCACACTTGGGTCTGTGCTCAGCGCAGCTGCGGGCCAGAAAGAGACAGACGGGTCACCGAACGGCCCTGGCCCCGTGGCCACTGCCTCCGCCCTGGGAGGTCCCTGTGGCGCGCCTCCCTGACCATGCGCCCGTGAAACTGCCTCCGGCAGGGAGGGTGAGATGGGTTTAGAAAAAACCAGCCACCTCTCCACACTAGCGTTGCTGCCAAAAGCCGAGCCACTCCTTCCCGATTCCCTGTAGCTGCATTTAAACCTATCTCAGCCCCAGATCTGTCACCCCCACCCCCGCGCGCGATGTGACCTTGGACAATGCCTCCCAATCCATCATCCAAGCCTCATTTCCCCTTCTGCAACGGGAAGGAGTGCTAAACCAGTGACCCCCAGGCTCCACGCAGTTCCAAACCGCCACAGTCCTAAGTCCTTTCGCCCCTACCCGGCGCCCGCCACCCTCGCGGCTGCAACCTCTTTCCCTCCCTTTCCGGAACAGTAACAACTTGGAGTTGTGGCTATAAATAAGCCCCAGACCGTGGGAACGCAAGAGTGAGCCAAGGCAGTAAAATGTAGCTGAATGCCTCTCACAACCACGGGCGGAAGTCTGGAAGAAATCACCGCGAGGCGAGCGGGACGCCCGCACAGGGGGACGCGGCGAGCCGCCCTCACCCGTCATCTGCGCCCGCTGCAGGTTCCGGAGGTGCTTCACTGTCATTTCCAGAATGTCCGCCTTCTCCAGCTTGGAATGCCGCGAGCTCTGCATAGAGTAGGCAAGAAAGGAAAGTGAGCCCCGTGTCAGCTGCTTCAGAGTGCTGGGGGTCCCTCCTCCCGGCCACGGAGCGCAAGCATTATCTCTGGACCCCAGCGAATAAGGCCGGGCCCTCCCGCCTGGGAGAACGCAGTACCAGCGAGTGCCAGACCCCGCAGGGCGGGGGGTTTCACTCTTAGTAGCTGAGAAAGTGTTTGTTTTTTAATTAAAAGAGCGAGCAGCATTTCCCCACTTACATCTTTCTTCAGAGCATCCAAAATCAGTGTTTTCAGCTGGCTCAGACTTTCATTTATTCTTGCTCTTCGTCTTTTCTCCATAATAGGCTTTGATGACTGCAAATAAAAAAAAGAGTTCTGTGTTCCCATGGAATCTGCCATCCCGGGGTTTCAAGACAGAAAGAAGCCCCCCAACCCCTACTTAATTTTGAGGGGCTGCAAAGAGATACAGGTACCGCCCTTACCTTTCTGTGCTCAGATGCTGTCTTTGGTTTATCCGGTGTCGTGTTGACACTGGCTGGGGTAGCAGCCACCGGGGACGAGGAATTTTTCTCCATTATATCAGCTGGCATTTTCCTTTTTTTTTTTTTTTTATCTCTAGAGAATTTTATTTTTGGAGTTCTTCACGAAAAAGAATTTTTTGTTTGTGTCTCTTTTACTTGAGACTTTCACAAAACTACTGAGCAAGTGCTGAGGGTTTATTATATTTTGTGGCTACTTGGTGATCAGTAGCGCTGTTCCAGGACCAAGGAGAGAGGTAGACGGGGGATTCCGCTGTTATCAGCACCAGCTCCGGATCCTGTGTGATCCCTAGGCCCTGGCGGCCTCTATATATATCTGGGACTGCACGCGAACGGCTCGTGTGAAACTTCCCAAACTTTCTTTCCCACAGTAACTTTCAGCCAATGGGAGGAGGAGACACGCGGCACCGCTCGTGGACCGCGCCCCCCCATTGGCCGCCAGGCACAAGGTCTGGCGGCCAATGGCGCGCGCCTGAGCCCAGGGCACCGGAGGCTACAACGTCAATCAAAAGGATTTTAACCCTTTGCTACTCTCCCTCTGGGCTTTGGTTTAGAGATTTTTTTTTTCTTTCCGCTTTGGTCTTGATCTTGTCTATTTCTTTTGGAGCCAGGGTCTTTGCTCTTTATGCCCTCTCTCATATGTAACAGAGCTGCTTTGACTGTAGTAAGTTCATTTGAAACATATTTTTTTTAAAGGTATAAACAATAAAGAAAAAAACAGCAGTGGTTAAAAGGGGGCGGGGGGAGGGGGGGACGGGTGTAAGAATGTGAGTTACCGACACATCTAAAGTTCCCGCTCAGACTTTACATTCAGGAGGGTGAAAGTAGATGGTAAAGGAAAAGGGCCAAAAAAATTTTCCTGTTTCCATGCAGAAAAAGGAAAAATTGCCTTCTACCTCACAAATGCAGGTTTTTCGGAGCAAGGTAGTTCTTGAATCCCACCCCCACCCCGTCTTTCAGAAATTCCTCGTTTGGATTTGGGGCCTTAGACCCCGGGCTTCCCCAGGAAACAATCAGAATAATTTCCAACTGGGTGGAAGGAAACGGTATTTCAAATGAAAAAATGAACAAGGGGGGCTCCGAGGGCAATGACTCAGGGACTCGCGCCCTCCTTCACCACCCTTTCCCTTTTCATCCGTAGGCTTTAGGTTCTGCGGCGCGTTGAGGTGGCGGGCAAGGAAGCAGCCTCTCCCTCCTCGCCCCGCGGGCGGCCTCGGCCCCCGGCGCCCGCGGGCCCTTTAAGAGCTACACCAGCCGAGCTGCAGTTTGACATCAGCCGGCCGGCGTGGGCGCGCCTGGAGCCGGAGCACGTGCCAGGATGTTTTATTGCCGCCGCGGCTGCGGCCGGGCCGGGAGGATGTGTGTGTGCGTGCGTGTGTGAGTGAGTGTGTGTGCGCGCGCCCCGGGGGCAGGGAGGCGGGGGGCGGCGACGGGCGGCGGAGAGCGGGGGCCGGTTCCTGGTCCCCGGGAGAAGCCAAGAAGGTAAATAGCAGCTGCTGTGCTCGAGCCTGGGAAAACCCCGCCCCCTGCGCCTGGCCCGGGCTCATTGGCGCGCGCTGCGTGTGGGGGGTGTGTGTGTGTGTGTGTCCGGGGCCCCCTCCTCCGGCCCCGCCGGGCCAGGAATCCGAGGGGGCGGCGGGCTGGGAGCCGAGCCCCGGCGCTTACCCTCTCTCCCCACCCCCGCCTCCCCAGGCCAAGGTCAGCTCTTCCCGGCGGGGAGCGCACACCCGGGGTGGAGAGTGGGGAATTCTTCCAACCCCCGCCTCCCCACCCTCACTTTCGGGCTTGGGGTTTTCACTCGGCCGAAAGCCGCATTCGCAACAGCCCGGGGGCGAGGTGGGGGCCTCCAAGTTTGCTCCTCGCCCCCGCCCTCTCCCCGCGGGGCCCTGGGCGCCCGCCGCGGTCACGGGATGCCTGACCGCACTTAGGAAGCGGCCGGGTCAGCCTCCTGCCTCCGCTCGGCGACTGCGGTTAAAGCGGCTTCGCGCCGCCCGCCCCTTCCCCGGGTCCCGGGCGGCCGGGCCGCTCCCCCTCACTACGCCCGGGAGGCCGCCGGCGGGCGCCCGGGAGGAGGCGGGCGGCGCGGGCGGCTGCGTGCTGCCTGCTGGCCGGGCCGCGCGCCGGGAGGAGTCGCCGCCGCCGCCGCCGGGTGCCACGTGGCGGGCGCCGGGCCGGGAGCGCCAGGGCTCTGGCGGCGGCCTCCCTGGGGGATTTGCCGAGCCGGGCGGGCGGCGCGCACTGCCTGGGCCGGCCGGCCGCCTCCTCCGCCTCCCTCCCGCCTGCCCGGGTCGCCGGCCCCCGTGCCCCCACCCCCCCTCCGCCCTTCCCGCCGCCTGGGAGCTCGGCTCGCGGCTCCGGGCAGCCCGGGAGCCCAGCGTCTTGTTTGATGTGGCCTCCCGCCCCCTCAGCCCTTCCCGCGTCCCGGAGGCCTGGCGCACGGTTCTCAGACACTTCATTCCTTCCGGCCTCCCAGCTCCCCACTGAGATAACGTTGTCAATGATTTCGCCAGATCTCGTCCCGGATGAGATTCAGTGGTTCCTGACTCTGGGTGACCTTGGGCAAGCCCCCCTCTCTCTTTCATTGTGGAACACACGCGCAGTGTCAGACACTGTGTTAAACCCTGGGATTTCCACGGTGAGAGATACAGTGGCGGCCTGCTAGAAGTTGACAGTAAACTGCGGGGGCAGACAGACGCTGATTTTCTGATTGATGACTGGACATTCCTTTATTTTTCCTTTCTTTTCTGAGTTAGGTGGTGGCTTGAGAGATCAGGAGGACAGAAACAAAATATGAAACCATACTTGTATGGATAACAGTATTGCTGGTCTACCTGGGTTTACAGCAGTGAGTAAGACCGTTATTGCTCTCTGGAAGCTAACAGTCTAGAGATACATATAAACGTGTACAGCTGACATCTACGGATGGCCCAGTAAATTCCTCTGGGAAGTCGTAGGTTCAAGAGAGACGTATGTCTGGATAGAGGTAAAATGCTATGGAGTTTCAGGAGAATTAAGTTACTTTTAAGTTGGGGTACCTTGGAAAACTTCCTGGAGGGATTGGCCTGTGTACCTTGAAAAATAGGTAGGATTGGGGCATTGGGAATGTGCTTAGTCGTGGGCTGGAGAGGATGCAGGTACCCATGGTATTAAAGGCCAAGATCCTGGAACTTGAAGACTTTATTCAGGGAACATGGTCTGGAGCCTAGGGAATGTGAGGGACTGGAAGAGGCAGCTTGAGGCCATGTCACAAGCTCCTTAAACATCTTGCTGAAGGACTTTGGACCTTATCTTTAGACAGTGGAGAGCCATGAAACATTCTTGAGCAAAGAAGAGGCATCAGGGTTTCCCTTTAGAAAGATGGCTCTGGCAAAAGTGGGAGAGTGGATTGCAGGGCTTGGAGGCAGAAAGGGCAGTTAGGCAGTTCAAGCCAGTGAAGAAGGTTCCTAGGAGGCAGGTGCAGACTGACTCCCAGAGGCATCTGTCTACATCCAGCTCCTCTGGACATTGACCGCACGCTCTTGGGAACTGAGTTCAACTCAAACCTGCCTACCCTTTAATGCAGTGTTCCCAACCCCCAACCAGGAACTCAGGAACTCAGATTTAATTCCTGAGTCTAACTAAGGAATCATGGCTCTGACCGTATTAACCTAAGCCTCATTTCCACCTTCCAGGATAGTCCTCCAGTCTGCAACCAAACATTTCCCTCATCGAAGGCTTTGGTTTACTCACTGTTGCCCCTAAGGCTACTCTGAGATTTTTTTTAAAAAATGTTTTCTTACACTGCAGAGTGAGCTGTGCCCTGTCATGTTCTGAAGAAATGATGAACAATGCCTCCTTTGTTGACCTGCAACCTGGGCCAAAGGGGAAGGAATTTTCTTTCTTATTTTAAACAGATGGAAAAGTGGTGATGACAGAAAATTGTCTGTTGCTTTTGGAAAACGTAGGGTTTTCCTGTGTGGTGAAAATCCTCTTGGTGAAAGGTGATGAGCCTATGAAGTTACCCTCCTTTCTGCCATGGCCCCAATAAGCTTTGCAAGCTTCTTAAAATGCTTCTACTGAGCGTCTGACTTTTTAAAAACTTCCCAAATACACTGACCCAGATTCTTCTGAGGAACTAAACCCTTCCCGGGGAAGCATGTTAACCCTTTCCAGGTTCCCCCCAAATCTTTCAGAACCAGTGCCTGCTCTGCTAGGCTCTGCCAGGCTCTGCCATGACATTGACTGCTGTCTGCTGGTCGGCCCTCATTAACTACTGGGTTATGCCACTCCCTGCCCATTCTAAGAGACTTTTTCATCTGATTCTGTTCCCCACTCTTATTTGGTGCCCTGAAGGTGCATGGGGAATGGAATATGGTCAAGTTAGGGTCTCACTGAAGGGGCTAAAGCAGCCTCGTGGGTCAAATAGTTAATCAGCAACTCGTTTATTGCCACTTTGGGAGTGCTTGGACTGGTGGAATGGGCAAGTAACTTTCACACACACGTTTTTAGATAGGGGGACAGAGGCTCAAGTAACAAAAAAAATTATGAATTTGTGTCTGGACCAAAAATAAATAAATAATAAATAAAAATAAATTCCAGGAACTCTCTGGCTTTCCACTCTAACCATTCAAGAAGAGTTTCTTGCAGATGGGCTCACAGATGACTTTTCAGTTTCCTTATGCTAGGCAGTGAAAATAGGACCAACGTTGTCCTCTCCCCACCCCTTCTCAAATGGGACAGTAAGCTCCTAAACTCAGGAAGAAGCATCTGCATCTGGAAGAATGCTCTTAGATAGATAGAAACAGCCTTTATTTTTCAGTCATCCTTTTCCCCCGACTCCCAAAGCAAAGAGAAAATGGAGCCCAGTTCATCAGTGGAGGTCACTTCTTTGATCCCCCTGTGACACCAGCATCGTTCTGAATCGTTCTCACCGTGTCATGCCCAATACATACAACCAGGGGCTCCCGCACTTGTCTCCACCCACAGCGTCCCCCCACCCCCGCCCCGGAAGGGCGACTTCTCTGTCTTACCGCATCACCTGTTTGCTTTCAAACCATAAAACAAATAACTGCATCTCTAGTGAAACTCCCCTTTGTCCCCTAGGTATCAGAGTGGTTTGTGGGTTTGGTTTAAAGCTACAGAAAGGAGAGAGCAAGAGAAGAAGAAAAAAGGTATTTTGCCTGAGGACTTGAAGCTTTTTTTTTTCCCTTTTCCTCCGCATGACTGACTTTCTCACACTCAGATTCCCTCCAGCCTGCCAGAGACGTGGTAGCTGCCCTGCCAAGAGCTATCCTGGGAGGGCTATTGAACGAGCTTTGAGTAAGTACACACACGGTGGATTTTCTCCTCCCCTCGGTACCTGCTCTGCACCTGTACAGGGAGCAGTCCCACACATATCACCTGATCACAGCCCTTTCAGGGACCGTGAGAAAAATAAAGCCCAGGATAGAAAAGACATGTTTGTCATCTCTCCAGGGCTGCAGCCAGCTTCCAGCAGTCCCAGTGCCCAGAAACAGCACATTCCAGGCCGGCTGTGCATGCATGTTTGCTGGGGCGCGTGCCAGGTGGGGGTGCTGGGAAGGGGGGGGCAACTAGAGGTCACCTTTGTAATGACCACCTTGCTGCCCCCGTTCTCTGGCATGTGCTGACTGGTAGCTTGAGAACCCTCTACTAGAATCAGTATCATAGTCTTTCTAGATAGCAGTCTGTATGTGCTGATCGCAGAATTCATAACCAGGATTTTTTTTTTTTTACCTATAAAGCCCCTGAAATGGAATTTCAACGTGTGTCTGTATGTGCATATTTAACAGGAGCTTAATAAATATTTTCCAAATGCATAAATGGATGCATCACGTTTTCTTTCTCCTGAGAAGAGGGTCCACAGCTTTCAGCAGAATCGCAAAGCTCTTTGCAATCAAAAAAGGTTAAGGAAAGCTGATCTGGAGTCTCTGCTTACTAGTGGGTACTCTAAGCCCCAGGGAGGGAAGGGACTTGCTCAGCTGCCCACAGCAGCATAAGGCTGGGGGTGTGTGGGGGGTGTAGGGTGGGCAGAAGCCAGCTGGGAGCTGTTTTCACCACACCAACTGCTGTGGTCCTTGGGTAATTTTCGGTTGGGTTTATAGAGTTGTGATCACCAAAGCCTGCATTTAAAATAGACACAATAAAGCTACTTTGAATTGCTACAACTTTTGACTCCTGAATTCTGAGGCACTTGAGCAGCTCTGCATCCAATTTTTGGATGTAGAAAGGGATAGGTGAGAAAGCAAAGTGTCTGCGGGGAAAAGAGGAGTCGGGAGTGCTTGGAGCAAGAGCCCTGGTTGTCATGCAGAGGCATTAGAAACAACTGCAACTGCATTCCATCTTTGATAAAAATGAGTTGCTACTTCTGAACAAAATGCCTGGTTGATTCCTGGCCAAGCTAGGACCTTGCACTGCAAACTGGAGGTGGGGGTGGAAAACAGAAGCTTTCAACATTGGCTAACGGCAGCCTGTAATACTCCCCCCACCCCCCAACACTCGCTTGGAGCCAGTGAAACCAAGGGAATGTGCACTTTTCTAATGGCTCTGAAAGAGGATGGTTGCCAAGAAAGCCTTTCCCAGTAGGGTGGGGGCGGGGCATCCTGGAATGGCTTAAATCACACGTTTGGCCCAGCCACAGCAGCGGCGGTGGGCAGGCTCTAAATGTGCTCCCAGCTAACCTCCTAACCTCTGAGCAGAGCTTCAGTGAGGCGAGCCTGCAAGGCCAGGGATGAAGGAGGGTATCCCTGAGGGATCACAGGGATGCTAACTTGTACCCTTGTGCATGAAAGGGTCAGAGCCATGCTGGGGCTGGGGCATATGGGGGCAGGCCCAGGGACCTCAGGAAGCCTCTGGAATGTGGGGTGAAGCCCATCCCCTTTAAACTCAGGGCATGCATGTGTTTGCCTTGCTGATAAGCTGCCCAAATGGTAACGTCAGACCAAATTTCTCCAAAAATCAAAAACAGAAAAACTGAGCTATCCAGAAAAACCATTTGGTAAAACTTAGGACCTGAAAGTGATTTGGGATGAATCAACATATTTTCTTTTTTCTTTTTTTGAAACAGAGTCTCACTGTGTCATCCAGGCTGGAGTGCAATGGCATAATCTAGGCTCACTGCAGCCTCTGCTTCCCGGGTTCAAGCGATTATCTCATCTCTGCCTCCCAAGTAGCTGGGACTACAGGCATGCACCACCACACCTGGCTAATTTTTGTGATTTTAGTAGAAATGGGATTTCACCATGTTGGCCAGGCTGGTCTCAAACTCCTGACCTGAAGTGATCTGTCCACCTCGGCCTCCCAAAGCGCTGGAATTACAGGCATGAGTCACTGCACCCGGCCTAAGCCACCACACCCGGCCATACAACATATACATATATATATACTTTGATATGGAGTTTCACTCTTGTTGCCCAGGCTGGAGTGCAATGGTGCAGTCTCGGCTCACCGCAACCTCTGCTTCCTGGGTTCAAGCGATTCTCCTGCCTCAGCCTCCTGAGTAGGTGGGATTACAGGCATGCGCCACCATGCCCAGCTAATTTTGTATTTTTAGTAGAGACGGGGTTTCCCATGTTGGTCAGGCTGGTCTCGAACTCCCAACCTCAGGTGACCCACCCCCCTTGGCCTCCCAAAGTGCTGGAATTACAGGCATGAGCCACTGCACCCGGCCACAACATATTTTTCGTTACGATCATCATCATCAGCATTCTTGCATTATCTCACAGATTATAGAAAGATGGAAGCTGGAAGAGAAGGGAGAAGGTACCTAAGAGGTCACCGAGTCAGCCCACTCCTTTCATGGACAGGGAAACTGAACCCAGGAAGAAGCGACTTGCACAGGGTCAAGCAGCCTCCCAGCGGGGGAGTAGCAAAACCAGAACTGCCCGCCAGTCTAGAAACTCTCTTTACTGTATCTCTCTATAGGAGAAAAACATTTTTAAATATTGTCTACAGCAAGTGACCAACATTACCACCAAACATGAATTTTATAGCTAAGACACTGAGCCATCTGCTGGTGAGTGATTTTGGTAGTGTCACAGAGCACAGTCCCAGGTTTGCCGTGCTGTGATTCTCCTTTCTCAGATTTGCTCATCACGCTATATTCTCTGAAAAAGAAGGGATCTTAATTTCTCAGCTCCAGGACATAGGAAGTCTCTTTCAGGATCTGTCCAGGATAGGCAGGCTGCCTCTCAGTCCACCAAACCAAGCCAAACCACATGTCCTCTCTTCTTATAATTGCCAATGTGTTTCCCTGATTTGTGCTCTGAAAGGAAGATTGGAAGAGGGAATAGTTCTAGCTCCAGAACTGATGCTCCGGTGGTGCTACGCTTTTATCTCAGGACCAGAGAAGACATGATGGTAGGAATACAGAGAAGGGGCTGGAGCACTAAGACACTGTGCTGCTGGCCGGCTTCACGCTTAGGAGAGGGAGAAGTGAGAAAAATAATGGATCTTCCAAGTGGTTGAGAGATGATGTTTGCAAATGAAATATATATTTTACTTTTAGATGTCAGGCATAGAGAACAGGAGAAGATGGTCCAGGCAGCTGCCGCAGCTGCAGCTCAAGATGATATGACTGGGTATGGTTGCTCATGCCTGTAATCCCGGCACTTTGGGAGGCTGAGGCCGGTGGATCACTTAAGGCCAGGAGTTTGAGACCATCCTGGCCAACATGGTGAAACCCCATCTCTACCAAAAATACAAAAAATAGCTGGGCATGGTGACACGTGCCTGTAGTCCCAGCTACTCAGAGGCTGAGGCATGAGAATCACTTGAACCCAGGAGGCAGAGGTTGCAGTGAGCCGAGATATTGCACCACTGCACTCCAGCCTGGACAACATAGTGAGACTCTGTCTCAAAAAAAAAAAAAAAAGACTGATGGGCTCTAGCATGACTGGGCCCTTCTGGTCTCTTCTACAGAGTGGGAGGTTCCTAAGGTACCTGTCACCCACATGGTATTACTTGACAGTTGACGAGGCACTTTCGCGTCCACCATAGCATTTGGTCCTCATACACAGCCATTTGTTCTAGATTGTCTAGGCTGGAAGGGCTCTGATGGGCATCCCAGGAAGGGAGAGATTGGATTTATGTGGTCAATGCAGGAGACATTTGGCTGGGCTGTGGGCTGTTGGGGACTCCGGATATGGGATAGACAGGAATTCTGGAAAATAGTACCTCTAGAGAGAAAGGGTGGAGAAAGGAACTTACAGGCCAGGAGAGAACTGACTTTTCTTTCTTAAGGAGAGCCATGGACAAGAATCAGATTTCCAGAAATTGGAACAGAGAGGACAAAAGAGATGTCTGTCAATCTGGTAAAGAATGTCAGTAATCCGGAGGACAGGTGCATCTTTGCGGGAAGAGGAAATGAGGGAAGTTCCTTTTCTTGTGGAGGAAAATCAGAAGGGAGAGACATGAGGGAAAGGAGTCCCACTTAGCAAAAGGATGACTGAGCAGATTCCGGAAATGACACAGAGAAGTAGGATCCCAGGCGTCCCTGCACGGAGGGTCGAGCTGCCTAGTTCAGCATTTAGTGCAGAAAGGCTTTCTGGGAAGATCTCAGAAAAGAAGACCAGGTTTGAGAATGAGGGCCCGTGTGGAATTCTGGAAGCTGCATCGCTTTTTACTAGTTAGTTGTTCGTGCCATGCTGTTTGTATTGCCATAGGTGTAACATACAATCCCGTAGGCTACCATGGTGTGTATGTGCCACATTCTCTTTATCCAGTCTATCGTTGATGGGCCGTGGGTTGGTTCCAAGTCTTTGCTGTTGTGAATAGTGCTGCAATAAACCTACGTGTGCTGAGATCATGTCCTTTGCATGGACATGGATGAAGCTGGAAACCATCATTCTCTGCAAACTAACACAGAAACAGAAAACCGAACACTGAATGTTCTCACTCATAAATGAGAGTTGAACAATGAGAACACATGGATGCAGGGAGGGGAACCACACACACTGGGGCCTGTCAGGGGGTGGGGGGCAAGGGGAGGGAGAGCAATAGGACAAATACCTACTACATGCAAGGCTCAAAACCTAGATAATGGGTTGATAGGTGCAGCAAACCACCATGGCACGTGTCTACCTGTGTAACGAACCTGCATGTTCTGCACATGTATCCCGGAAATTAAAGTAAAAAAAATTTTTTTATATATATGTATGTATGTATATATACACATACATTATATATGTATATATACACACACATTATATATGTATATATACACACACACACTTTTTATATGTGTGTATATATACACATTTTATATATATACACACATATATATACACATTATGTGTGTGTGTGTGTGTGTGTGTGTGTATATATGTATATGTAATCCCATAGGCTGGAAAAGTTGTGGGTTGTTTGGAGATGATGACCAGGACTGCGGACTTAGGGGGACCATACCCTGCTACTCAGTCTAGGGGTGATGGTCCAGGGCAGGAGGTCGGGGGACAGTGGCTCAGAACAAAGGGTGAGGCAGTACACTGAATCCTCAGAGCTTCAGAGAAAGGACCGAGCATGAATCTCCATAGTTCCTTAACTACTGTGGGCAACTGTCTACATGACAGAGCTCATTTTTGGATTCCCTCAGCCTCACTCGGTGTATTGACATTATGTTTAGTAGGGAAAAGGAGTCTGTCCTTTTGCGGACTTGGACTTCCACAGACCAGCTTTGGTTGAAATCTGAGAGGACTCAGGGAGAGCGGGTTCTCTTGCAGCGTGCTGGTGTGTGCCAGGCTCACCTTACCTGATGGGAGGTCTCCTAATAAAGTCCCAGCATGTTGCTGGCTCCTGGAGGAGGTTGCCACGCTGTGCATATATCATACATGTATCCAGCTGTGACCTTTATTTCAATAGGCTCTCACAGTCATGGAAGCACCCCAGTACTCAAGTTCAAGTATTTGATCTCCTTGTTATGGGTGGCTATTCATCTCCTTCCCTGCCCTCAAAGCCCTGGCACCTGGGGCAGACCTAGACTCGGCATCTAGCACCACCTGTCACCTGGATGGAGGGGTAGAATCCCAGCTCATTTTCTTTGTATTGAGTGAACCTGCACTGATGACAGACAGTATAGTCAGTGGCTAAGACCATCCAATTTCTAATTGTCTGTTTAACTTAATTCCACTCGATAAATATTCTTGAGCACCTACTACATGCAAGGCAAAATTACCTACCTATTTTGACAATTACTTCCATCCCTGCCTGCTATTCAAATGCTATTAATCTGTGCAGAGTGTGACACCCCAGGCTTATATTATAAAAATTTCCCAGCTGGGTGCGGTGGCTCACGCCTGTAATCCCAGCACTTTGGGAGGCCTAGGTGGGTGGATCACTTGCGCCCAGGATTTCAAGGCCAGCCCAGGCAACATGGCAAAATCCCATCTCTCCACAAAAAAAATACGAAAATTAGCTGGGCATGATGGTATGTGCCTGTAGTCCCAGCTACTTGAGAAGCTGAGGTGGGAGGATCACTTGAACCTGGGAGGTGAAGGCTGCAGTGAGCCAAGATCGTGCCACTGCACTCCAGCCTAGATGACAGAGCTAGACCCTGTCTCAAAAAAAAAATTCCCCTTCCTTCCCACATCCTTGATCTCTATTGCTTTTCTGATAAAGAAGCTATGAAACACCTCGTGGTATTAGGCGAATACTTTTCACAGAACCGTCACTCTCAAATATTTGGAGAATAAATCCATAAATGAACTCAGACTTAAGAACAGGTTTTATTGGATTCAAGGAACCCTCAGAGGGTGAGCCTATTCTTCTAAATTCTCTCTGGCTGCTGAATCAAAGGGGGTGGGTTTACTTTGACCACTCCTGGTGACCACCTCTGGGTAGCCGGGATACCTCTCCAGACAGCTCTGTTCTGTGCAGTCAGGTGAATTTAGAGGAGTCTGTGGCTGTCTGTGTTTTCCCAGGCCTATCTTTATTGATGGTTATTAAAGACACACCACCACATGGCAATATGCAAGTACAAAGCAATTCCCAGGGTAAGGTACGTGGGAAGAGGCAAGATACTGAGCTCCCAAACAATTCTACTGTAATCGCAGTCTGCCATATCTATGTATAGTTAATAAGTAAGATTTAAGCAGGCAGGTTCCACTGCTGGGAAGCAGATGGAAGGGGAAAAAAGGCCAGTAGGCAGATCACTGGTCCTTCTGGAAGACTGGAAAAGAAAGTGTGGAGGATGCCTGGGACAGGTGAGTCCAGTGAGCAGTCGCCGGGGTAGTGTACAAGCCCAGCCAAAGGTCCTGAGGTAGGGCCGCTGCTCACCTCTTTTCCCACCTCACACCTCTTTTCATACGAGCTCCCTGTGGAAGATTCCGTATAACTAAGAAATAAATAGCAATTGTGCCCAGACACCCTGGGTTAAATAAGTGTAAACACAGCACACAGAAACACCTGTTTTGACAGAGCACCTCAACACACCTGTTGTTTTACAATGCTGAGTGATATCGGTAAAGGGGTCTATAAAGCGGAGGTGAAATGCCCTCCTAGATGTAAATAGTGACTTGCTCTGTGAACTTCAAGTGTTTTACAGCTGAGATTTGACTGGCCTGCTGATTATTTCGGTTAGGAATGCTGAACATATATTTACATAGATATTTGGAGAAACTGGATAGCAGGGTGGTGAAAAGGCCAACTCCGGAGCCAGACTGCCTGAGTTCATGTTCCACTTGCTTGCATTCTAGCTGCGTGACATAACAATTCTGTACCTTGATTTACCTACCTGTTCAATGGGGAGGTATTCATTGTACCTACCTTATAGGATTGTTATAAGGACCAATATATGTAATGTGCTTAGTACAGTGCCTGGCATTTTGTAAATACAATGTAAGTTCTTAGCTACCTTTATTATTACTATATAATAAACATCTCTGATATGTAAGATAGGTACTCTCATTCATCTAATGAAAATTCACAAGGTGCTAATTTTTTCAAAGAAATGGATGGCAACCACTCTGGTAAATTGGTTCATGAGTATATTGACAAACCAAAAGCTTCAGCCAGTTTCTTATGAATCACAGGTTCTAAGGCTGGGAGAGACCTTAAGAAATGATCTGACTTCTTCTTTTTCAGGGAAAAGGGTCCCCACCACCCAAGCACTGTGATTTCGGCTTTGTGTGCAGGCAGATGCAGAGCTTGTTGTGGTCCTGCCTTGAAAAATTGAAATGAGCCTCAGGTTCACAGAAAGACGAGATCTGAATGGAGGCAAAAGCATCAGGCGTCAATATGGGCCTGGCGTGCAGGATGCGCGGGTGGTCCTCCCTCCCTCACGGAGACAGGAGGGCATGGGAAGGGCTGCAGAGGGAGGGGGAAATCAAAAGCATAAACCTGGGCAGATCCTCCCTGGACACCCATCTCACTTGTAGGAGATAAGATTGGTGGGAAAGATGAACACCCAAGACCCTCCCTGCTCCAGTTCTGTGGAGGTGACCATATCATTTAGGGTTCAAACTGGAACACTTTTGAGAGTGGAAGATAATGCTAGTAACACTGATGCTGGGACAACTGGCATAGGCTGGGATACATGACCATCCCGGTTCTGCGGGCCTCCGACTGTATGTGCTAGATTCACGTGTCCATTCAGTCGTGGTGTGAGCAGAGATGCTTCCTGAGGGACAGGGAGAAGAAATATTATTGAAAAATCATTCATGTTTTAGCACCTCCATATCTGTGAGGGGTGATACCATTGATCTACCATCCTTAGAGGGAGGAACCCCCATTTTTGAGGCTAGAGGACCTCCCTTAGTGTGTATAGGGGCAGGGAGAAGGAGAGGGAGGTCCCGTGACGCCTGTGCTTACAGTGTATTTGACATGACTTGGTTTCTTCTTCTTCCGTAGAGCAGATGTGCTCTGGGCTTGCCCACCTGTCAGTTTGCACCCAGGTGTGGCCGCGGCATAGAAATTCTACAATGGACTCTTGCTTCTACCAGCCATGGTTGAGAATGTTCATTTTTTGATGGTGTGTGCTTATGGAAAAAGTAACTACTACAGTTTGAAGTCCAGACCATAGTTTAATGGCTGAAGGAAGTCTCCTGAACGAAGGAGCACTTTCCCACGTGAAATATTTGCCCTTTTAGCCTTGAATTTAACTAAGTTTTTAATGGTTAAAAAAATGCTTTTTTTCTGAATAGGTCAAAATCAAGGTTTGTACTTTGTTAATTTCCTTCAAACAAACAAACAAGAGAAGAAAAATGGCTCCCTTGCCTGAGTGCTCATATATATGCCTATTTAATGATTAATAATACCTTGTAGGTTATTGTTTGATGTGGCCTCTATTGGTTTGAACAGGAGAATACTGATTCACTCTTAAGGCATTTATGAATCACAAGTGTTTACCCTGAGACAATAAACGAAAGGGAGAGATAAAAATAATACCCAAATATGCAGAGTTCTTTGAGTAAAACCTGGAGATAACGTGGGACCTCAGTCTTTGATATCCTGAGTGGGGGCCACTGCTTTCTCTCACAGAATAAAGATTGTGTAGAATGACCAAGACGGGCTTTTGAGTTTTGTAGATTTTTCCTTTCACTTGTTGGTAGGTTTGAGGCAGTTTTTTTACCCTGGTTTCCATGTCACGTACATTGGTTTTCCCTCTCCCTGGTTTTGAGGTAACTCCATGCCGTTCATTTGCAAGGAAGAACCTTTCCAGGTCTGCAAAGAGCGCCCTTCTCTAGAGTTTCACTATTTTCCCCTTATTCCAGAGGAGGCTCCAGAAGTAACCCAGATGAGAAGAGAAAGGCCGGCCTCCGAGGTGCTGGTGGGGCTGGAGAGCAGGAGAGCAGGAGGGATTCAAGAGATTAAGAGAACCGACAAGTCTTGGTGACTGGATTGGACCATGATGGAGAAAGAGGGGTCCAGAGACGACACTGAGTGGGTTGTGGTGGCTCGTGCCTGTGGTCCCAGCACTTTGGGAGGCCACGGCGGGAGGATGGCTTGAGCCCAGGAGTTTGAGAGCAGCCTGGACAACATAGGGAAACTCCATCTCTACAAAAAAAATGAAGAATTAGCAGGGTGTGGTGGTGCCCAGCTGTGGTCCCAGCTGGTGGTGCTCAGCTGTGGTCCCGAGAGGCTGAGGTGGGAGGATCACTTGTTCTTAGGAGGTCAAGGCTGCAGTGAGCTGTGATTGTGCCACTGCACTCCAGCCTGGGCGACAGAGTGAGACCTTTTTTTTTTAAAAAAAAAAAAAAAAAAAGGAAAGGACACCAGGTTTGTTACTTGAGCAACTAACTGGCAGACCCTTCTTCCAAATTCCAAGTTTAATAATGATATCTCCTAGACTGATTTTCCCTCCTCTCTGCTGAGAAGTATAAAGTTCTGTGAAAGAAGATTGACAAATTTGCAGTTACCTCTGATGATTTTTTTTCAAAATGTTTTGCTTTGAGGTAATTTTAGATCTACAGAGAAGTTGCAAAAATAGTAGAGTGAACTCTCTTATACCCTCTAACCCGCTTCCCCTTATGTCAGTCTTACACAACCGTGGAATAGTCATCAAAATTAAGAGAATCATCTTGGTACAATACTATAAATGGCAGACTTGATTTGGATTTTACCATTTTTTCCTAGTCAAGTCTTTTTTTCTGTTGTAGGATTCCATCTGGGATTCCACAGTGCATTTAGAAGTCACGTGTCCTTACTCTCCTGCACTTGCTGACGGTTTAGGGGACTAGTTAGTTATTTTGTAGCCTGCTCCTCCATTTGTGTTTGTTTGGTGTCTTCTCAGGATTGTGTCGAGGAGCTGCATTATTGGAAGGACATCACAGAGAGAATGTGCCCTTTCCAGGCGTCATGTCAGGGGTTCCATGATGCCACTTTATCTCATGGCTGATGTTAACCGTGATCACTTTGTTGAAGTGGTTTCTGCAAGGATGGTTCACTGTAAAGTTACAATTTTCCCTTTGTATTTCCTAAATATTTTTGTAGGGGGTGGAGGAGAGTACTTCAAGACTATGCAAATGGTCTATTTCTGCTTATACTTCTGTCTACTAAATTTAGAATCCATCAAAGGATCTTGCCTGTAGCAACTATTATTGTGGTGATCTAATGGGAATTTTTTCAAATTTCCCTCATTTCTTCAACACTTATTAATGGGAACTCTTCCAGAGGAAGAGTTTGCCTGACATTACATTCTGAGAAAGCAGAAAAAAAAAATCCGTATGCTTTTGGAGCCTACATTTTAGATGAGACAGATAAGCAAAATAAATAAATCGGTTGAATGCTATTTTAAAAGGTAATTGGTACTCTAGAGGGAGATTAAGTGGGGAAAGGGGAAGGGGAGTGCCGGGAGGGTGCAGGTTTAAATTGCATGCTCAGGAAAGGCCTTAGAGAGATGACTTTGACTTTGAGCTTGCTGGGGGAAGCTTTCTAGAGTGAGGGAACAGCAGGTGCAGAGGCTCTGAGGCAGGACCACCTGCTCTAGGAACAGCCAGGAGGCCAGAGTGACTGGGGCAAAGTGAGCAAGGGGAAGAGGAGGGAGATGGAGCTGAGAGTGAGAGTGATGGGGCCCGATGATGCAGGCTGGTGAGAAGGAGGGCATTCTAAGGATCTAGCTGTTGCTCTCGGGGAGGCGGGAGCCATTGCAAAGTTTTGAGCAAAGCAGTTACATGACATGCTCCATTGTTTTATTTATATTTATTTATTCATTCATTTATTTTTGAGATGGAGTCTTGCTCTGTTGCCCAGGTTGGAGTGCAGTGGCACAATCTCGGCTCACTGCAACCTCTGCTTCCCCGGTTCAAGCGATTCTCCTGCCTCAGCCTCCCGAGTAGCTGGGACTACAGGCATGTGCCACCACGCCTGGTTAATTTTTTGTATTTTAGTAGAGACGGGGCTTCATCATGTTAGCCAGGATGGTCTCAATTTCCTGACCTCATAATCTGCCCATCCCAGTCTCCCAAAGTGCTGGGATTACAGGTGTGAGCCACCGTGCCTGGCTGACATGCTTCATCTTTGTAAAGGATCAGTTTGGCTGCTCTGTGTAGGCAAGGATAGAGGTAAACTGTAACCTTAATCCAGGTAGGAAGTGAAGCTGGCTTGGAACAGAATGGTAGGAAAGAGGTAGTTGGATTTTGGACGTATTGTGGGGGTAGAACTAACACAGCAAGTTTGGGCAGCACTCGCTGGCCACATGGATGTAAACCGTGTGACTCCCCCATGGGAGCCTTCTGTAATCTGGATCCACTTTTGTTGTCTCTATGCTGCACCTCATACTTGTCTCTGTCCCAGGACCAACCCTCTACCAAGGCCAAGCCACTACCAACATTTGCTCGTACAGTCTCCCAGCCCTCAGTGTCCTCAGCCAATCAAGATCCTTCCCGCCCTTCCAGGCAACCACCACCCCAACACCCACTAGCCCTCTGAACACCTGCTGTCTAGGTCATGGACAGCAACTAGGCTCTGCTTCACGTGTGCAGCCCCTGGAGGAAGGTACAACCTCAAATGCCGCTGCAGCCTCAGAGGCCCTTAAACACAAGAACCAGCACTGAGTACATCACGGGCTCAGTGGTTGGCTTGTTGGTATACGGCATATGCTAAGAATGAGACACTGTATTATGTTTCCTCTTACTCATGCAAGTACATGTTGCATTGTACTCCACATGGATTCATGTTGTTTTTTTTTTTTTTTTGAGACAGGGTCTCACTCTGTCATCCAGGCTGGAGTGCAGTGGTGCCTTCTTGGCTCACTGCAACCTCCACCTCCCAGATTCAAGTGATTCTCCTGCCTTAGCCTCCTGAGCAGCTGGGACTACAGGTGCGTGCCACCACGCTGGCTAATTTTTGTATTTTTAGTACAGATGGGGTTTCACCATGTTGGCCAGGCTGGTCTTGAACTCCTGACCTCAAGTGATCTGCCCACCTCCACCTCCCAAAGTGCTGGGATTATAGGCGTGAGCTATCGCACCCGTATTTCTTTTTATATAAAAATTATGTCTCCGCCAGGCACGGTGGCTCACGTCTGTAATCCCAGCACTTTGGGAGGCTGAGGTGGGCAGATCACAAGGTCAGAGGTACGAGACCAGCCTGACCAACATGGTGAAACCCCATCTCTACTAAAAATACAAAAATTAGCTGGGCGTGGTGGCGGGCACCTGCAATCCCAGCTACTCAGGAGGCTGAGGCAGGAGAATCATTTGAACCCCAGGAGAAGGTTGCAGTGAGCCGAGATCAGGCCATTGCACTCCAGCCTGGGCGACAGAGTGAGATTCCATCTCAAAAAAAAAAAAAAAAAAAAAAAGATGTCTTTGCCTCTCCCTCCGCCCTTCAAGTAAAAGTGAAATTTCAGATTTCTCCCTGTTGGGCCAGTCTGTATCCCTGAAGGGGCCTGTGTCCCCCAGTCTGAGAAGGGAGATGAGGGATGCAGGAGAGGCAGGCATCATCTGAAGGCTCATTTGCTGCTGATGGATTTGTCTCCTTATCTATTGAATGATTGAACTTCAAAATATGTTTAAAAATGTCAACCCGTACAAAAGGGTAAATCCTGAAAAGTAACTCTTCCATCTGTGGCCCCTGTCCCTCAAACCCTGCAGTGGCCATTCTTGCCTATCCCTTATATACCCATCCATGCTAATGGATTACTGGCTAGTAGTAGATAGGAACTACCCATGGAAGGTAAGCTGCAACGCTGTGAAAACCAGCTCCCAGCACTGCACTTCCCAGGGCTAAAGCAGCCCCCGTTGCAGAATGGCCAGCTACAGCGTGGTCAACCTGCCATTTGATTGTTGTCCTTGGCTCACACCACACAGGGGTGAATTTGCAAGGACTCCACACTTGAGTGCAATTGGAGCATTTAGTGCCACCCTCCTTGGCTCTAGATCTGTGCCCTCACCAGGAGATTTGTCCTCATTGAGACTTCCCAGGTTAGCTCTTGTCTCATCTCTCCCTTAAAGTCAGCCAACCAGAGGGAGGAGCACAGCCAAAAGCTCCATCAGGAAGAAAGGCAGGTGGGAGAGGAGGGTGGAGGAGCCTGCCTCTGAGTCTGTTACAGCAGTGCCGGAGATTACAGGGAGACTTCAGCATGGCGGGGGGACCTTATTCCTCCCCACTCCGCCTCGCACCTGACAGGCCTAGAAGCTCACCTGAGAGGCAGTACTCTTCGTCTACCTTTCCCGTGGGAAATCACCACAGCCAACATAACCCCTGAACTCTGCTGGGCCACTGCCAGCAACTTCCAAGCCTTTCCTCTGCCGATTACAGTGACATGATGTCGTTTTTATTGAGGCAAGATTAGATTTTTTTAAAGGGTTTTCAAAAGTGTCGTTCACATGATCTCTAGTACTTTTCCTGTTGCTTGAAGACCACAGAGCTGCCAATTTCAATTTGCTCCAGCTTTTATCACTGGAAGAAGCTTAAAAGAAGAAAGAAAGGGGGAGAAAGACTGGATGAAAATATTCCTCTTGGCCCTAGCAGTTAGTGCGAGGGTGGTGGGGGACACGCACGTCGCCCACTTCCTTCGTATGACTGCTGTAACAAGATGTCGGGAGCCTGAGCTCCTGGAGTCGCACCTGGCCTCCTGACAGTGCATGAAGATCACTAGACAGAGGGATCATAGCTGGAGAGGGAACACACAACCTTGAGTCATTCACAGGAGCTGGAGAGGGTTAGAGAGGATGCTGGTATCCTGGGAGATGGGTAAAATAAACTCATGGAAAAGTTTTCCTTCCTTCTGATTCCATTTTACTAATTCTCCTTCTTGGAGGCAAGGTTTGCCTTTATGCATTCATTCACTCATTTATTCATTCAATGTATTTATTGAGCACCTATTGTGTGCATTACCCTGCAGGATGAATAAGGCAAAGTCCGTACCATTCACCATTTTATTATTTATTTATTTGTTTATTTTTTTTGAGATGGAGTCTCGATCTGTCACCCAGGCTGGAGTGCAGGGGTGTGATCTCAACTCACTGCAACCTCCGCCTCCCGCGTTCACTCCATTCTCCTGCCTCAGCTTCCTGAGTAGCTAGGACTATGGGCGCCCACCACAATGCCCAGCTAATTTTTTTTATTTTTGGTAGAGATGGGGTTTCACCATGTTGGCCAGGATGGTCTCGATCTCCTGACCTCGTGATCCGCCCGCCTTGGCCTCCCAAAGTGCTGGGATTACAGGCGTGAGCCATCACACCCGGCCCACCATTTTAAAAGATAAACTGGAGAATGCCTATTTGCATGAATCATACTTTTTCAGGTGTCACTTTAGCCCTCGAAATGGGTCTTATGAAGGAAAATCATGAAAAACCTCAGAGCTAATCACATTGCTTTGATATGAAATCAGAGCAGGAGCATCCGAGGGTAGGGGACTCGCTGAGGACGCATCTCCCACTCCATGGGAGTCCTGCAGTAGAAACAATATTTACACATCACGAGCGTTTAGCAGCCACTTCCAGACTCCGAACAGCCTGATAGTCACAGCAGCCTGTGAAGTAGAGAGGGGCAAAATATGCCATCCCCCTGCACTGCACCTGGCACGTTGTAGGTGCCCAATGAGTGTTGAATGAATGCTGCTTCAATTTACAGCTCTGAGACAGGCTCAAGAGTACTTAAGAGATTGGTCCCAAGTTATCTGCTAGTAAGTAGCAGAGGCCAGGCTGGAATGCAGATGTCCTGAATCCACACATCGAGGCCAATCGTGACTCCTAGAGGCACTACTCTCTGGCAATTTCTCCAAACTACTGCCGTTCCATTGATTGGCAGGAGAGTGACTCCGGAGTCAACCGCGTTGAAGGTTGCAATGAGTCTCTGGAGAGTAGTTTTAGTGGACGGAAGTCAGACTGACCTCTGATGCGAACAGAGCATTTCATGACGGCACCCCTGCCTCCTTGGAAGGTCCTCCCAGGGTTTAGTTGGTTGGACTAAAAAACCTGGGCTTCAGGGTTGGTTCTTTGCATATGGATTTCTAAACTGTCCCAGACTGAGTTGGAAATGTCCTTGGGGGCTTGTTTGCTTTTTGAAGTCTATGCACCACCCCCCAACCCCAACTCATTCTGTCTCTGTCAATTACGTGGATCAGGAAAAGACGGGTTCAGAGCAAACTTGTGAAAAAACAACTCCCCATCTGTGTCTTGTGAACCTTGATGTTTCTCCTCCAGAGAGGGATGGAAGGGCCATTGTGGCAGTGGGGTAACTCCCAGGGAGTTCGGGCCTCACCAGAGTTACAGAGCAAGGAAGTGGCAGACTAGAACCAAAATCTGGAAGCCTAATTGTGGTTGCAGTATCCCTGGACTGGAAAAGACCCAGAAAGTCATTGAGTCCCTTCCGCTGACCCTGGGGATGAGAATCACAGCACATACCCGGGACCTAGGGCTGGATGTGAATGATGTTCCTTGCCAGGAAATGCAGTGTGGGGACACACAGGAGGCTGCAGGAACAGAGCCAGTCTGGTTGAAAAGGAAGACCAGAGAGCATGAAACTCCATCTTCTTGTTCGCTTTACCCCAAGAACATGAGCGTGTACAGAAGGCTTTGAACTAGAAATCAGGGAAGGACCCAGCTTCCAGTCCTGCCTCCCATAGACTTATTGTGTGTGTCCCTGGAGAAGGTTTTCACTGCTGCCCCTCTGGGCCTCAGTTTCTCCATAGGTAGTCTAATGGCTTTTAAACCATGCCTCAAGGCCTTTCATCCCCAGAGAATGAGGGATTAGGGCCTGGGGTGATGCTGAGCAGGAGGGGCTCTTGTAAGCCTTCTCAGCCTTCTACCACAACAATTTGGCTCTTACCTGCTCATATATTGCATGTCCTCAATTATTTTTGCTAGTAGTAGTACTATTAGTATTAGTATTATTAGTTCTACTGCTATTAATACAAATAATTGATGAATGAATGGTTTGTTCCCCTCTTTGGAAAGAATCACTGATGTATCAGTAGCTTTGCTGATGTAAAAGGGCCTTCCCAGTGCTGACAGGAACTAGGTGGAGGCCGTGAGCTCTGTGTTTTTCTTTTACGAGTTGGTCTGATTATAACTGTTGGGGGTTGCATCCTGTCCCCTAAAAAGATATTCAGTCTTCACCTCCAGATTCTCAGCATTGACGTTATTTGGAAATAGGGCCATAGCAGATGTAATTAATAAAGATGAGGTCATAATGGAATAGGGTGGGTCCTTAATCCAGTATGAGTGGTGTCATAAAAATAGATGAGACACAGAGACAGAAACACTCAAGGTGAGAACTCCACGTGACGATGGAGGCAGAAGTTGGAGTGATATAGCTGCTGGCCGAAGAATGCCGTGAATTGCTGGCAACCACCAGAGACTAGGAAGAGGCAAGGAAGGAGTTTCCCTTACAGGGTTCGGAGGAAGCATGGTCCTGCTGACTCCTTGATTTTAGACTGCTGGCCTCCAGAACTGTGACACAATACATTAATACATTTTTGGTCTTTTTTTTTTTTTTTTTTTAGACCGAGTCTCGCTCTGTCGCCCAGGCTGGAGTGCAATGCCTCGATCTCAGCTCACTGCAACCTCCGCCTGCCGGCTTCAAGCAATTCTCCTGCCTTAGCCCCCTAAGTGGCTGGGATTACTGGCACCCACCACTACACCCGGCTAATTTTTGTATTTTTAGTAAAGACGAGTTTTCTCTATGCTGGCCAGGTTGTTCTCGAACTCTCGACCTGAGATGATCCACCCACCTCGGCCTCCCAAAGTGCTGGGATTACAGGCCTGAGCCACCGTGCCTGGCCCATTCTTGGTCTTTTAAGCCACCAAATTTACGGTACTTTGTTATGGCAGCCCCCCCGGGAAACTAATAGATCACTCCACCTCCAATATTATGCTTAAAAACAAAATCTAAAGGTTGGGTGCAGTGCCTCACACCTGTAATCCCAGCACTTTGGGAGGCCGAGGTGAGCGGATTGCTTGAGCTCAGGAGTTGGAGATCAGCATGAGCAACACGGCGAAACCCTGTCTCTATGAAAAATACAAAAAATTAGCCAGGTGTACCGGTGCACACTTACAGTCCCGGCTACTTGGGGGGCTGAGGCAGGAGGATCGCTTGAGCCTGGGAGGTCGAGGCTGCAGTGAGCTGAGATGGCACCACTGCACTCCAGCCTGGATGACAAGGTGAGACTCTGTTTCTAAATAAATAAATACGTAAAAAAAAAAAAAAAAAAACCTACAACCCCCGTTTCCTTTAACTTCTATGAAATGTTCAAAGGAAAGTAGGCTTGGCTTGAACTTACATTTTTGAAATGTTAACTACAGTCTTTCATTAAAATATTTCATGTTCTTAAAGCTGTGAAATCTTTGCACATGGGGTCCTATGTGTGGTATATATTGGGTAGTAAAATAAACAAGTTAATAAATAATCTCCCTCCTCAACAAACAGAAAAAAAGTTCCCCCAATTCCCTTCTTTCCCAGTCTTTTGAAAAGTAAATTTGCTGTGAACTGGCTGCTTCATTCATCTGAGTTTGACCACGTGTTCAGTCTGAGGGTGTTTCACTTTCCTCTCTAGGAGCAGGGCATGATTGGATTAAATGGGATGCAGAATCATTTTTCACCTCTGCAGAAATGATCCCACTTGCCCCTGAATATCTTTCTTGCATTTTCTTTCATCTACCCATCTTCCTAGAGACAGGTTTCCAGTTCTGGCTTCTCCTCCGGTGCCCTTAATCAAACCCACAGTTTGGCAGACGAAGCACAGCCCCTCCTTCTCCATCCCCATGGAGATCCAGGAATTTGTAGGAGTCGCCTCATTTCTGGTTATTCAATAACCGGCAGGGCATCGAATGTCAGGGCTAAGAAAACAAACCTGCCTACCTGTTGGACTGAATGACCTCATAGCCTGAGCTGTTCTCATGGTGTTGGCTTGCACTGTCTGTCAGCGACTCTTTCATCACAAGCCCGACTGACATCATACTGTTCTAAACACCTAACCTGATCATTGTCACTGTGCTTACAACACAGCCAAAGACAGCAGTTAAGGCTCTGATTAAGCCTGGGGGCAGTCTTGCATGAGGAAGTAAGGGGTCTTTTTTTTTTTTTTTTTTCCCAGCCTTAAGAATGGAGGATGTGAATGGGGAAGGAATGAAGGGGCTTATTGTGTTTTAATTCCAAATTTGTCCTTAACCTCCCTACCTGGATTTCCAGCCCAAGGCTTCACTCAGTACTCGGTGGAGAAGAGCAAACCATCTGCCCACATCTGACCTGGCTGACCAGGGCTTTCCTGCAGGGGAGGGAAGATTCTAGCACCATTCCACTTGTGGATGTCTCTGATTGGAAAATGATCTTCTCTGAGCTTTAGTGAATAACCTGAGGGCCTCCATTAGATTGTATTTGTGGGCCACTTTTCATCACTGGATTCCCAGGCAATGACTGTGAAAGATTCCCACAAAACAATAGAATGGATGCAAAATAATCCTATTATTTATTTATTTATTCATTTTTCAGACAGAGTTTTGCTCTTGTTGCCCAGGCTGGAGTGCAGTGGTGTGATCTCAGCTCACTGCAACCTCCGCCTTGTGGGTCCAAGCAATTCTCCTGCCTCAGCCTCCCAAGTAGCTGGGATTACAGGCGCCGGCCACCAAGCCTGCCAAATTTTTGTATTTTAAGTAGAGACAGGGTTTCACCATGTTGGCAAGGCTGGTCTTGAACTCCTGACTTCAGGTGATCCACCTGCCTCAGCCTCCCAAAGTGCTGGGATTACAGGCGTGAGCCACCGCGCCAGGCCTGGAAAATGATCTTGAAAGCAAGTCATAGCTTCCTCAAGTTAGAGTTGGAAGGATTAGGGAGATACTAAAAGGGAAGTTAATTATTCTATGTGATATAAATTCATTCATTTGCTCACTCATTCATTCACCTATTCATTCATGAAATCAATATTTTCTGAATGCCTGCCGTAGGCCATGTACTGTGTGATGCACTCAGGAAACAAAGACAAAGTCACAGGTCAGTGACATTCATGT
This sequence comes from Homo sapiens, assembly GCF_000001405.40. Taxonomy (NCBI): domain Eukaryota; kingdom Metazoa; phylum Chordata; class Mammalia; order Primates; family Hominidae; genus Homo; species Homo sapiens. The sequence continues at coordinate 194,111,550 of NC_000003.12, read as the reverse complement.
GACTTGTATCCAGGAAGAAGCCTGTCCAGATGGCCGAGAGGGCCATGAGGAAGAAGAAAGCTCAAGGAGTGGCTGGGGAAGCAGGGAGGAGAGTTTTGGCCTAAGACTAGAATATTGATTTTCAAAGCATAGGCCCTCGGCACTGGACATCACAGTGATCGGGGAAGTATCTCAGTCAGCTTTGGCTGCCTTAATAAAATACCTTCACAGCAGGAATTGATCGTCTCCCAATTCTGGAGGCTGAATGCCCAAGAGCAAGGTGCTAGCAGGGTCCGTGTCTGTTTGGTGAGGGCGCTTCCTGGCTTGCAGATAGCTGTCTTCTGGCTGTGTCTTGTTATGGCCTTTCCTGGGTACTTGAGAGTAGAGAGAGCTCTCTGGCATGTCTTCTTATGAGGGCACTAATCCCATCCATCATGGGGCTCCCTTCCTCACGACCTCATCTAAACATAATGACCTCCCAAAGGCCCCATCTTCAAATGCCATCACATTAGGGGTGAGGGCTTCAATATATGAATTTTGGGGTGAAACAATTCAGTCCATAGCAGGGAGTTGGTTAAAAGGCAGATTCCAAACTTCCACCCTAAACCTACTGAATCCGTGTTTCTGGAACAGGTCCTGGAAATCTCCGTGTTGATTGTTAGGTATGCTAATGTTGGAGAATGTCCTCTTTAGGATGATTTAGGCTGTTACATAGAAAAGGATGTTTCCAGGGAGAGCTGGAGCTGGTGAATGCACACATGAACGAGGAACGTTGGCCTTGGGGCGAGGCCCAGCGTTCCGTATATTTGTGAATTTATTTATAACTGAGGCTTTGGCTGACGTAGAGCTGAGCAAAGGATAGGCTCGGATGTAGTTTTGCAAAATGTCAAGATAGAGCCATAATCCTACCACTGCAATTTGTCTCAAGAATTTAAGGACTCTCTCTTTTCCCTTCCCTTCCCTTCCGTACCCTTCCCTCCCCTTCCCTTCCCTCCCCTTCCCTTCCCTTCCGTTCCCTTCCCTTCCCTTCCCTTCCCTTCCCCTTCCCTTCCCTTCCTTCCTTGCTTTCTTGCTTTCTGATTTTACCTGCTTTTTCTAAGGAAGTCAGCTTGTATAAGGAGATTTAAAGACAGGCATGCAATTCTGAGGGATCACTGGGGTGAATTATTTGTTACCTGTTGTTGCTCATTTACCTGATCGGGGAGATTAACATTCTCCTTTGAGGTTTCTTTTCCTTTTAGGAACTGCTGTGGCTCTTGCCAAAGTCTCCAGGTAACCTTCTGCTGGGGAGAGAAAACCTCCACCAGTCTCCAACTATACTTGGCTCTCAATAAGAAAGCAAGAGGGCCAGGCACAGTGGCTCACACCTAGCTCTTTGGGAGGCCGAGGTAGGAGGATTGCTTGAAGCTAGGAGTTTGAGACCAATCTGAGCAACAAAATGAGATCTCTGTCTCTCTCAATAAATAAATAAATAAATAAATAAATAAATAAATAAATAAATATAAATTAACTAGTCGTGGTGGTACACACCTGTAGTTGCAGCTATTCCAGAGGTTGTGATGAGAGGATCACTTAAGTCCAGGATGTCGAGGCTGCAGTGAGCCATAATCCTACCACTGCACTCCAGCCTGGGCTGTTTTGCTCAGTGACTAATTACAGTTGGAGGAAATCAATCCTGAAAATTGGGGTGCCTTTGCCATCCACTTATCGCTTCAACATAAAATTTTTGAGTGCCTTCCATGGCATGGTGTGAGTTGCTGTGGTTAGTTAGGTGAATAAGACAGACACAGCCCCTGTCTTCATGACATTTATAATCTACAGGTGAAAAGAAACAAGTAAACGATGGATTGCAATGAAGCGTGGTGAGAGTTATGTTAATTCTCCTGTGGTTCCTTCTTCATGCCTTCAGAGACTGAACCTAGCTCAGGGCTGGATGGCTCATTGGTACTCAAAATATCCTTGTCCTGCATTCCTTTTTTGTTTGTTTGCAAACATTTGCTGAACCCCTATGAAATGTCATGTTGAATAGATATGTCCTGGGCTCTGCTTATAACCTTAGAGGCAGATTTTTTAAATTGAACAACATGCAAAACCTTGTTGCAGAGAGCTCAGAGTCAAGTGAGGAAGTCAGACAAATAAACAAATGGCATCAGGGCTATGCTAATGACTCAGATAATACAGCAGTGGTCTGTACCAGGCCATAAGGGAATGTGGGAGTGGAGAAAGGGGTACAGGGGGGATGATTTCTGCTGGAGAAAGGAGCAAGGGCCAAGTGGCCCAGCAGGGATCCCTGAAGGTAGAGAGTGCAGGCTGGACTTGAAGCATATTAAGAGGGTTTGAATTCTTTCAGCACTTCCCAGCCAATAGGTTAAATGATAACTAATTCAATCATTCATTGAATTGTTCAGTAGCTATATATTGAGTACCTATGATTTCCTTAGTGAGCCAGCTATACAAATCATTGGATTAACCACTCAACCCAGCAACTAGCTAGCTGGCCCCCCTGACAGGTGACAAGCTATGTAATCAAGCATTTGGGGAGTAAATACAAGAAGTGAAAAAGTCTGTCTATTGCCCCCAGAGAGGCTACCTGTGGACTGCAATGGCCAAAAGTGTCCAGTCGCTTCCAAAGCTTCTCATTTAGAAAAAGGCAGGTTCTGCGTACTTCTCTTAATTTTTTAACAGAATGACAGCTCCGTTGTCTTCCAGGCTGGTATCTAAAGTATGAAGAGATATATATATATCATATATATGATATATAAGATATATGATATATATAATTATAGTTTATTTTATTTTCAATTCTAAATAATGTATGCTTACTGGAAAAAAATAGACAAATACAGATAAGGTGAAAGAAGATAACTACTCTCATTATTTGCCCTTTTTCTAACTTTTCTTTATGATTTTACATGATTATGATCACTGTATGTACAATATATACATTGTATATAACTTATTACATGCTTTTGTCATATAACATTACAGCAACATAAATTCCTCATAAGTTTCATTTCAAATGACCGCATAATTTTTCATCATTTATGTACCATGATTTTCCTAATGTATTTAACAATCTAAACTTTTAACATTTTATTTTTCTTAGGATAAATTTACAGAATTGGAATTTCTAGTTAAGGAGAAGGGCATAATTAAGACTCTCAATAAATATTGTAAAATTACTTTCCAAAGAGTCACAAGAGTTTTTATTCTCATGGTTATGGTCGTGTACAAGGTTAATTTTAAATTGTCTGATATTTCTTTCCTGCCCCGAACATGATTGAGACAATGAATTAAGCCTTTTCCTTATATCTGATTGGGTCAGCAGAAAGCAAGAGGTTTGAATGGTATTAATCCAGATCTCTCACACTGAATAACAAATACCTTGCCCTTAGTTTTTATTACACACTATTACAAAAGCTGGCCATCTTGATGTCTTCTGCTAAGCCATCCTTGAGGACCCCATTCACTATGTTACTCAACATCCCTTCTATCAGGCCATAGTCTTCTTTCTCTTTCATGTTAGCCATATTTCCACTTTTTGTCAGTGATATTTGGCTATCAAGAAGCTCATAGTTCACACTGGTGCTTGCTGGATTGTCTAAAGCCATCTCTCCTTCCCTTTAGGGGTGACTGAGAATAGGCTCAAGACCATTGGCCAAAGGCACTTCAGAGCATCAGCTGGATTGATGGTGTATTAGTCTGTTCTCACACTGCTATGAAGAGATGTCTGAGACTGGGTCATTTATAAAGAAAAGAGGGGCCGGGCATGGTGGCTCATGCCTGTAATCCCAGCACTTTGGGAGGTCAAGTCGGGTCGATCACCTGAGGTCAGGAGTTCGAGACCAGCCTGGCCAACATGGCGAAACCCTGTCTCTACTAAAAATACAAAAATTAGCCGGGCATGGTGGTGGGCACCTGGAATCCCAGCTACTCGGGAGGCTGAGGCAGGAGAATCACTTGAACCTTGGAGGCGGAGGTTGCAGTGAGCTGAGATTTTGCCACTGCACTGCAGCCTGGGCGACAGAGCGAGACTCCGTCTCAAAAAAAAAAAAAAAAAAAAAAAAAAATTAAAAATAGAAATAAAGAAAAGAGGTTTAATTTATTCACAGTTCTGCATGGCTGAGAGACCTCAGGAAACTCAAAATCATGGTGGAAGGCATCTTTCCACAGGGCGGCAGGAGGGAGAATGAGTGCCAGGTGAAGGGGGAAGCCCCTTATAAAATCATAAGCTCTCATGAGGACTCAGTCACTGTCATGAGAACAGCATGGTGGAAACTGCCCCCATGACTCAATTACCTCCCACCAGGTCCTCCCATGACATGTGGGGATTATGGAAACTACAATTCAAGATGAGATTTTGGTGGGGACACAGCCAAACCATATCAGATGGCAAGTAAGCTTCCAAAATGTCAGGGCTCTCTTCTAACCACTGTATTGGGAGAGGGGGTGGGATCTCATACTTCCTCCCTGAGCTAGGCTTTGGGATCGGCATGTTCTGCCATGCAGACTGTGAGTCCACTTTTTCAAGCTACTACAAGGGAAAGATTATGGGCCTGTTTCTAGAAAACCAGTGGAGTAGAAGCAGCAGGAGAATAGTGACCATCCTGTTTGGTAGTGGTGGTGGGTGGCAGAGAGGGGCAATTCCCCGAGCAGGCGGCTTATCACAGAAGTCAAGAGAGGCTGGAAAGCAGGTGTCTGCTCTGCTCTGAGGAGCCCAAAGGAGCAAAAGGCAGTGACTGTCTCCTGGTGCCCCTTACTCCGTGAACACCTACGGGTCACCCATTAGTTATTCCTTCTCCCCAAAGGGAGAGAGAGGGGAAAGGCTCACTCCAACCCTCCTACTTCATATTCTGGGGAGAGCAAGTCTCCCCTGTATAGAAATGTGAAGAAGAGGAAATGAAGATTATCCTCCAAGGATACTTAGCTGCAGTAGCCACTTAACCAGTCCCTTAAAAGGGGACATAATTGTCCTTTTTTTCCCTGCAACAGACTGAATTGTGCCCCTCCCTAAATTCATATGTTGAAACCCGAACCCTGAATGTGACAGTATTTAGAGATGAGGCCTTTGGGAGGTAATTAGGTTTAGATGAATTCCTAAGGGTGGTGCCTTCATGATGGGATTAGCACCTTTATAAGAAGAAAGAAGAGAAATTAGACATCTTGCCCACACACACACTCTCTCTCTCTGCCATGTGAGGCCATAACTAGAAGTCAAGTCGGCTGTCTACAAGCCAGGGAGAAAGCCCTTACCAGAAGCCCACCATGCTGGCACCCTGATCTTGGCCTTCCAGCCTCCAGAACTGTGAGAAAATCCATTTCTGTTGTTTAAGCCACCTAGTCTATGGTGTTTTGGAATGGCAGCTCTAGCAAGCTAATACACCTTAGCAAAAAAAATGACATTTCTGATTTTTCACTTTTTTATCTTGACCTTTGCTATTATAGATGTACTTACTTTTTCATTGTAAGCAACCTGAATGTTTATATCATCTGTAGGTAAATAATCATAAACTTGGAGTTCTAAGGCGGACATGCGTAAGATACAGTGAGCAAATCAAGATGCTTTATGGGCATGACTTTAAAAGCCAGGATCAGTGAGAACTGGAGGGATCAGGTACGGCTTTCTACGGGTGGCAGGGCTGGAGTTGGGTTTGAGTGGGTGTAAGATATGGAGAAGGGCAAGGGAAAGTGAGTCGTGAGATCAAAGACAATGCTGGAGTTGGGAATAATCCATGGCTAGAGATGAACAACTGTCCTTCGGCCCTTTACAGTTTGTAAAGTCCTTTAACATCCATTACATCACAAAATCCTCATGCCGACTCTACAAAGTGAACATAATTATCATCTCCATTTTACCCTTGAGGAACTAGACTCAGAGAGATCCGATGGTGAATCTGAGACTCACACCTGACTTTTTTGGCTACAAATTTTATCGTTACTCCCACTCCCTATTGTATGCTGTCTGAGTTGGGTAAGGAAACCAGTTTGACCAAAGCGGAGGGAAGCAGTTGCTCTGGAGAGAAGTGGAAAACTGCGGTGTTGAGCTGAGGCCAAACCAGACCCACAAGGTCCCTGAGAGCCGGGTGGTGCAGATTTTATGCAGGGGAAACCACTGAAGGCTTTTGAGCAAGGGTGTGACATAATACAAGTAGAGAGATCCACCGTGCTGAGCGCTAGTGTGCAGAGAGGATTGGGAAGTCCAAAGAGGGAAGATGGTAGCAGAGATGCCAGTGACGGAGCTTCTGGAAGGAGTCTGCATATCCAGATTAGATCGTTAGTATCCAGGATATGTTGGCTTCTTTTTTGGGATTCATCACTGTGCCATTGGAATTAGAACTGGAATTGGACATAACTGAAATATTCCATTCCTTTCATTCACCATCTTTATTAATGGGCCAGTATTGCAGAGATTTGGTCCACGTTATTTTCAGCATTTTTGCTACACCTGCATCTCAGGAGGCTTCTCTGGCCCCGCCTATAAACAAAATTATGATTAACACAATGAACTAACATGTCTTAGAGCTGGAGCTAACATCAATTGACTTTTATTATATTTACTAAATATTTACTGAGTACTCACCATGTGCCCAGCACTGTGCAAAGTTCCTCCGTTGGGAAAACAGAAGAGAATCGGCACAGAGCAGCTAGTTAAGCTGCTCATGGGAAGCGGACAGGAGAGGGGGCTGGGACTGAGGACTGTGGGGACAGGACACTGGTAGGAGGTTAGACAGGGACACAAAGCATGCACGAGAAGGAAACCAAGACTAGCTCCTTTTGGATGTCAGAAGGATTAGATGTGGATCCACCAGCAGCAGTTGAGTGTTCCCCTCTGAGGTTTGCTTTGTCTTGTACCAAAGGGTGTCCTGGAGACAGAAGCCCCTGGAGGAATCTGTTCTCAGAGCTCCTTTCTGCTCTGCTGTGGCTGGCCCTCTGCAACTGGCTGCTCCAGAGTAGTCAAGACTGCCTCCTCCTCAGCCCCAACACTCATATGTGCTCCCCTGGGGCTGCAGTGGAGGGTCCCACCCTCCACAGGGGAAGTCTGTGCTGTGAGGTGCAACAGGACACCTGGGTCCCAGTGACAGTGACTCACTGTGTGCCCTTGGGCAGTTTATTTCTTCTCTTTGGTTCCTTCCTCTTTCAGAATTGGAGCAGCTCCTTGTAGCTTTAAAGATTTGATGGTGGTTACTGCAGGCCTGCAATGTGTGCCTGTGTGTGTGTGTGTGTGTGAGTGTGTGTGTGTGTTAGACTTGCTGTTTAATAGGGTGCTAAGACAGCAGGTGGGCCGTCTTTCCCACCCCCCACCCCCACACGTGTGGCTCTCATTACTGTCAGAAGGCGTTAAGTCGGCCCCATGGAGATGAGAACAGACCCCTTAATTAGGCACCGTTCCCAGATCGCAGGAGGGACTGGCCTGGGCCTGGCTGCCCTGGCGTTGCGGGGAGCCCAGGCTGCAGGGCTGGAGGGGGCTGTGGGGGGCGGTTGCGGCCAGGGCATCTGAAGGACTCAGCAGGTTTACACTTCGCTGACCCGATGGATGAATGGGGCCCTGTCCACTCACATGGGAGCCTGGAATCTTCAATTATGGCAATTACATCAACAGGTCGGAAGGGCAGCACTTTCCACTGAAGAGGTTCAGTGCTTAAAAGAAAAATCCTAAAGCTACTATTTTTTATCTTTCTTTTTTTTTTTTTTTAAAGGGATTGGGTTGATAGAAGAAGACCCCCATCTCCAGTCTAATTGAGCCATGGGTAGGGAACAAAAGATGTGGCACGGATTTACGTAAGATCTGGCTGGCACGTGCTCACCCGCTTCTGGACTTTTGGCTTTTCTCTCGCTCAACTTTGTATTATAGTCCCTGCAGGTGCAGGTGTGTCACCCTCATCACCTTGCTGAGGACAGGATGTGGTACCTTCATCTGGGAATCCCCCTGACATGCAGAGCAGTAGATGGCAGTCTAGACAGTACTGAACCGGTATCAGAGGGTGCATTAGATCTTGGAGGAGTCGCTTTGTCTCTCAGGCCCTCAGTTTTCACCTCTGTGAAGTGGATATAAAGCTGTCTATCCATCCTCTTTCCTATGGTTTCAGAGACACCAGTTCCTGCTACGTACTCACTATACTAATTGGATCTTTTCTTCCTCTCGGCCACCCTGTTAGGTAGGTGAGACTGGCAATGTGGCCCCAGCACCAGCAGTATAATGTCACCTGGGGGTATGTTTGAAATGCAGAATCTCAGGCCCCATACCAGAGCTGCTGAATCAGTCTGAATCTTTCCAAGCTCCCCAGGAAATTCGTGTGCACATCGAGAAACACTTTGCTACACTGGAAATTTGCACACATTTAACCTAAGTTGAGTGAATGAGCGTCAGCCTGTCATATGCATGTCATCTGTTAAATGGGGATAGTAACAGTTGTCCTTTTCTATTGGAGGGATGCTTTGAGGATCAAGTAGTTTATAATTATAAAGGTATTTTATCCAGACACTGGCTAATTTATTCAACAAACTTTGCCGAATGGCTACAAGACAGGTTTGGGGTTTGCAAAATATATTCTCTCCTTAGAAATAATTTGAACTATTCTAGAAATCTGATGTTTAAAAGAGCTAAGTATAGTAAAACATGGCAAGTGCTGTCCAATAGCCACGCTTAAATTAGGGGATGATTAGAGAAAAAAACAAGTAACTGTGATTGTGAAGTTCAGGGCTGTGTAGGTTAAGGGAGGCTTCACTGAGGTGGTGGCACTGAGCTTATGTAGGAATGAATGAGGTAGAGAAGGTCCTTCTAGACAGAGAACAACATAAACAAAGGCTCTGAGGTATGGGGTGGAGGGATTGGGGTGGCTACTATTTCCAGGTGGCCTCATAACGTGACTAGTAAGTACAGACCTGAGAGGTCTTTGCTGCCTGCTTCGTTTATTTGGGGCTGATTGCCTGGGTCATTTTAGGTTTCAGTCCTGTGGTTGGAGCCGTCCGTCCAAAAGTCACTGCTGTGCTTACACTGCCAACCACCTAAGACTTTTGTTTGTTTGTTTGTTTTTATTCTTCATGTGCTCTGGTGGGGGAGGTTTACTGCCAGCAGCAATGTCCTACTTCCTAAGATTTTAACATCACTTCGAGTTAAGGAGGGGAAGTTGATTTCCAGGTAGGTCATTTTTTTTTTCAACCAGTTGGGAAGGCGAGTTGGCCCCTATAGGGACTGAGAAAATAAGAGATGGCCAGAGCCCTCGTCCAGCACCATCTGAGATCTGTCACTGCCTGCTCCCCTCTGGCTGCCTGAGCGTGTCCACAGCAGTGGTGGACACAGGCTTGGAGCATGTGGTGCTCAGCCAATGGGCAGACAACAGCAGTGGAGATGCCACTGAGGGCCCAGAGAAAAGGCACTTTGGTACATCTGGGAGAGGCCACTCCCTTCCTGAGCCAGCCAGGAGAGTGGGAGCTGTACCTCTTGAAAGCCATCATGATGTGGAGTCTCTGCCGGGTCACAGTGGGTGAGACCAAAAGTGAGGGTGGGTGGCACCCATAGGAGTACATGCAGAAGCAAAATCACTTCCTGGAATGGCTGTCTGAGCAGGCAGAGGGTGCAAACACAGCCCTGCACCTTAGGGAACCTTTAGTTGGATGTGAGGACTGTGCTCTCCCTTGCTTCTCCAGGCTGCGGAGGCATTGTGCTGCCTTCTTGCAATGCTGTAATGGTGAGGGAAGGGGACCCTGCACCTGGGGGTGTGGGAGGACAGCCTGAGGGTGGATGCTTAGTTCTGAGCTCCCAAACTAAAGCCAAGGACTTTGTCTTGCTTGTATTGGACAGCGCCCTTGGGTGCTGAGTTAATATTTTACCCAGCTTGCAAATAAGGGTTATCTGTTTGTCTCTGTAAAGGACACGGGGGCAAATGGCTTTCTGCACTACTGCTGTTGGTATGAGTGCTCATTCTCTTTGGGCAAAGGAAAGGAAAGAGATGGAGCCTTATCACTGCTCCTTTTTAGTTCATTGATGTAGGTGGCCAACTTTCTGAAAAATGGCCCCAGGGGACTGTGACCCTGGGTGGATCTTTACTCTGAACTTAGGAAGCAGCTTCATGCAGTAGAAATAACCTGAAGTTTGCAGTCAGCTAGGAGTGCATTCAAATTTCTCCACTTCCTAGTTGTGGTACTTAGGGAAGTACCTTCGCCTCTTAAAGCCTCAGTTTCCCCATCGGTACGGCAGGCATGAACTGCTCTCCTGGTTGGGTCGTGAGGTATGAAGGGGAGAGCGCAGTGGTATCTCCTGTGCTTGCTGGTTAGCTCTGAGTCTGGATGTGACACAGCTCTCAGTGGTCTAGAGATTGAGAATCGAAAAGCTTTCGGTTCATGAAAAACCATCTCAACGTCAGAGCTGGGGGCAAGCAGAGAAACCCAGGGTCAACCACTTCATCGGCCAGAAGAGGAAACTACACCTCGCCCTGCAGGTCCCCTGTGGCCACCACACCTGTCCTCAAACCTGCAAAAACACCACAGAATGGGGACTCCGGCACCCCCAGGCTTTCCGGACCTGTCCTCAGCATCCTCCTCCCCACCACCTGACCTGGCGCTTACTCTCCCAGCTCCATTTCGCCTTTGCTTTTGGACTTGGCCCTTGCTAGTTCCCAGCTCTGGCCTCAGGTCCACTCAGCAGTGACTCTGATCACATGCCCGGTGCCTTGCTGCTGGCTACCTCTGATGCACACACCCCGCATTGCAGTGGGGCCAGGACCTTAGTCCTTCAGAAGAAGGCTTTTCTCTCTCCCTTCTTCCCCTGGGTGATGTGTTGGTTTCTCTCCTTCCTCCCTCTCTCTCCTTTTTATTGCTTTTATAGTTATGGGGAGCAGTCTTTAAAGATTGTTGGTGAACACACCATACGCCTGCTTCATCAAGCAGTAGGTATCTGCCAGAAGAAAAAGGATGTCCTTGATGTGAAAAAATAAAAAAAGGGCTGTCAGCCCCTCCTTCGGTGGGCAGAGGGAAGACTCAGGCCAGCTCCTGATAGCAATGACTGAGTCCAGCTCCTCTAGACACTACGGAGTGTCTTGAAGAATTCATCTCCCTATCCCAGCCTTAGTTTCTTTTTTTTGTAAAATGGGGCAATCATGATTCCAATCCAGGCAACTTCATCGAGTTGCTGTTGGGACCACAGCAGGCACTGGATATGAAAACAATACATGGTAAAGCTACAAACCCCTGTGCACTCTACAGGGGTTGCTCATGGCCGTTTTCAGCTCCCTTCTGGGCTGAGGCCTGTCTATTTTCAACTGGATGGGTCTGAGTTGTGTGAAGTAGCTTCCTGTGAAGGCCCCTCAGTTTCCAGGACTGGAGAAGAACAGCAACTAGTTGCCTCTGATTCCCGCTCCCCAGCCCCTTCTCTCTGGACCGTGCCTTGTGGGCGGTGGGTGGTGGGGAGGCTCAAGGGATCCTCCAGCATCACTTTGCTGGGAGTGTGACTCTCCTGATGGCAAACACACCAGAACCGAGAGCCCCAACTCCCGGAATCCTCAGTTACAGGTGGCAGGGAGAGGTGGAGTCCAGGGAGAAGTGTGGGGCTTGCATGGGTGACATTGCATTCCTGGATAAGCAGGGAGAAAAGTCATAAAGGACAGCCATCCCTACTGTTCAGGTGTAACATGGCCACCAGTGGCACATGAATAAGGCATTTACATTCACCTCGAAGGTGCCAGGAGACTTGTCCAGACCTTCCTGAGGGAGCACAGCTCCAGTTTGGACATATTTACTAGTCTATTCATTTGTTCACAGATTTGTTTGACTATTTCTTCAGTCATGGCATATTTATCAAGTACTTACTATGTATCGGAGCCATGCTAAGGGTCCCGCATACATCTTGTCTTGTATTAGAATAGGTTAGGTAATGCTGTGGTAACAAACAACCTCAGAATCTCAGTGGCTGGAGGCAACAGGCATTTGTCTCTCACTGATGTTACATCCTCTGGACAGCTCTTCGGCAGAGGGATGTGCTGATGGCTGCCAATCCGAAGGGTGCTGTACCATCTGACGATGCCACCTTCTCAACACGGGAGCTGTTCTCTTTCCTGGCTGTTGCTGCGGCCAGGGAAGAGAGCACAGGAAATGTGCACCAACTCTGAAACGCTTCTGCCCGGAGGGGACACTCGTGACTTCTGCTCACATGTCATTGGCCAGAGGATGTCACATGGACATACCTAACTTCAAGCGGGACAGAGAAGTGTAATTCTTCCCTGGGATGGGAAAGGAAATATGGGAATGATGTGAACCCCACTAATCTCTATCCCATTGTAATCCCTACAACAAACTTGCCATGTGGTTATTATCCTGATTTGATACACGAAGAAACTGAGGATAAGCAACTCCTCCACACTCACACAGCTGGCAAGAGGGAGAGGTGGGATTTAACCTTGGGAAAGTCTGACTGCCAAGCTTTTGCTATTTCCTTGGTGTCGCCCTTTTCATGTTCACAAAATGGCTGTATCATAAGGCAGAAAAACTGCAGCTTATCAGTCAAAGAAGGATGGATAGCGTGTTGTGTAGTTTTAGAGGAGGAGAGATCACCTCCTGTTAGAGAAATCCGGGAAGACTTCACTGAGGTGGTAGCTCTTGCCTCTGGATCTTGAAGAATAGGACAGATTTGGACATTCAGAGATGCCAGTTCTTTCAATCTGTCAGTTATTCCTTCTGTGTGCAAGGTGGGTGGCTTCTGACGTCTGGAAAACCATTTGTAAAGTCCATTTAGTTCACGCTTTTAGTTTAGTCACACTCTTCCCTCACAAGAGAAGTCCTAGCGTGATGGTGAGAGGGAGGGGAAGTAGTTATGAACCGGGTTTCACCAAAGGAGCTTTCCTGGAAGAGGCCCTGGGGAGAAATCTGATGCAGTGGGTCGAATAAGAACGGGGTTTTCCTGCAGCTGTATTGCAGCCTTCATTCCTTTCTCCCTCCCTTCCTCTCCTCTTTCTTCTCCTTTCCCTTCCATTCCTGCGTCCCTCTCTCCGTCATTTCCTTAGTGCCTGCTGTCTGCCTGGGACAATGCTGAGTGCTGGGGCAGGGGAGGAGGCACACCCAGATTTTGGCTCCCTGGAACTCTCACACAGTTTAACGATGGGAGGGATAAGGTTGCAGGGCCCCAGAGCCCCAGTGTTTGCCTAGAAACTCAAGAAGAAACCTCCAGTGAGAGGCAGAGTGACCCATTGAGGGGTGTGGGTCACTTGAGGAAAAAAAAAAAAAGAAAAGAAGCCAGCCACACAGAGAACAGAGTCCCCACTGCCCTGTGGTCAGTGAGCACTGCTCCCTAGCTTGGGCCGGACAGCTGGCCCCTCTGGGCTCACTCAGGCCGACTGCACCTGGCCTTGCTCACAGCTGTGCTCCTCTGAGCTGGCCCACACCAGCCAGCAACCAGTTCTTGTCAATGCAGCTAGAGCAGACTGTGGCTGCCTCCCTGATTCTCCTCCACCTCTTCTCCCCAACCCAGGGAGAACTTGCAGTCTGGGGACAGAATCTGTACATCAGGGATGGTTTTGACAAACTAAGGAGGGAGAGGAGCTGGAAGACATCCTTGCACCCATGCTGAGGCTTGGCTGTACACGTTTCCCTTCCAGGATTCACAGGCTGCCAGCAAAGGGCTTAAGATTTCAGCTCTGCGGAAACTATGATCAAGTGCCTTTTTGGGGTCCAGGGATGAATGCACCCCTATTTAACTGTGTCTGTGTATCTTCTACCTTTAGATCCATTTTCCTATTCACAGGACCAGAGTATTTCAGCGCTAGGAGTGATCTCACAGGGTTTTTAGGCCAGTGGTTGCTAAACCTGATTGTCCTCCAGGAAGCCTTTAAAAATACACATTCCTAGGCTCTGAGCCCAGAAGTTCTGACTCCGTAGGTCTGGCCCTTGTCCCTTCCAGTTATTGATTCTGCAGGTCCCACGCTCAGAGGGGGTAGTCCCCCGGGGCCAAGGAAGCCGGGGGAGTGTGTCAGTCGCTTTTGCTTGGCGACCACCTTTCCTCGTGTGAATTTATTGTTCTCATTAAGGAGATGGGTCCCAAAACGTGCTGAGAGGACCAACACTTGTTTATTGTGCTCTGTGAGTATTTGTGGGCTCCCTGAATGCAGGTCTGGGTTTCCGTGCTGGCTCGGTTCCATTTCATCAAGGAGAAGGAGCCCTTCCCAGGGGCGGATGAGCATTGTTTTCAAGCCACGGTTGCCCTCCCAAGGCTTCCCTGGAGCCAGGGGAGCTCATCAGCCAGAAAGGTGCTCACCAGAGCTCAAGTCTGCCCTGGCTGCCTGATGGAGAGGAGGGGCTGCAGGGGAACGCTGCTGACCTACACACACACACCACACACACACACACACACACACACCAGGCCTGGCTGAAGAACATGCTGTCTCCTGGAGGAACTGAGAACCTGGGCATTTCTCTGGGAAATCACCTTTCATTTCCAAATTCCAAGAAGTGCTTCCAAAAAAGATAATAGTTTTGCTGTGTGTCCAAGAGTTTGCTTGTGCAGGATCTCATGTGCTCTTTGCAGCTGCCCTGGTAGGTGGAGAGGACAGGGCTTATCCTTTTTGTGCTCTAACTGAGCAAACTGAGCTTGGAAAGGGCATCTGATTCTGAGTATTTAGCACTAAAGGGCTATGCTGTGTGAAATGTACCCTCAAATTCTTCAGAAAAGAATTCTGTATGTGTGTGGAGTGGGAGAGTGCATGCAGGCACACACGATGGATAAAGCAAATGGGGTAAAATGGGAGCAACAGTGAATCATCTGGGTAAAAAATATACAGGTGTTCTTTGTACTATTTTTATTTTTGTAATTTTTTGAAATGTAAAATGTATTTCCAAATAAAACAATGTTAAGGGGGTGTGGTTTATTCAAGGACATGGAGCAGGTTCCTTGTCTGTGGAAGGCCCACTTGTCACTTCTTACCATCTCTAGATTGATATATTTCTTTTTTTTTTTTTGAGATGGAGGTTTGCTCTTGTTGCTCAGGCCGGAGTGCAGTGGCGTGATCTCGGTTCACTGCAACCTCCGCCTCCTGGGCTCAAGTGATTCTTCTGCCTCAGCCTCCTGAGTAGCTGGGATTACAGGCGCATGCCACCACGCCTGGCTAATTTTCATATTTTTAGTAGGGACAGGGTTTCACCATGCTGGCCAGGCTGGCCTCGAACTCCTGACCTCAGGTGATCCACCGGCCTGGGCCTCCCAAAGTGCTGGGATTACAGGTGTGAGCCACTGCACTCGGCCGATTGATACATTTCTTAGTCTCAAACGCCAGTTCCTTTGCTCCACCTTCCCTGGCCTCTTACACTAGATCGTGTGCCCCAATTGCATGTACTTTTCCTTCCACTTATCCCTACGGGTGGGACTGAATTATTTAAAATTTAATGTCAATTTATCCTGCTGGACTATAAGCTCTATGAGGGCAGGACCTCTACCGTCTTGCTCCTGGCTGTATCCCAAGGGCGTAGCACAGTGACTGGAATATAGTAGGTGCTCAGTGAACGTCTTCCGAAGGAGTTAATGAATGGAGTGAATGCATGCCAGTGCACGGGCCGCAGATGCTCACAGGGGGACACACACATGCACACGTGCTCGTGCTCTATTTTCTTAGTGAGATTGCTCTGCCACAGGCAGGCTGGGGATGCCAAAATTTGGAGGACAGCTGGCAGGGTGGCATCATGCCTCTGGAAATGACATTCTGGGAACAACTGACATCCTTTGGGAAGCTAGAATGATGCCCCTTCCCAGCCAGTGCTCCCCTCTCCTCCCCACCTCAGGCCCAGAGGCTCTTCCGGGGGAGAAATGATGCTCTTGCAGCAGGTGGCAAAGGGATCCCAGGGCCAGTGGGCTGTCAGTGGGGGCAGGGATGCTGTGTGGAAACTGCTGCCTTTCCGGAAACAAAAGGGCCCTTTAGAGTCACTTGATATCATGTCTTCCTGTCTGGGCCTCTGCCAAGCCTCCCTCTTCCTACTGTGGAACAGCAGGCACAACAGCGACCTGACCTGTGCCTGCTCCTCCTGGGGCACTGCTGGGGAGCCAGGGCAAGCACCGAGCAGGAACAGAGGTGCCTGGGCAGGCTACACATGCCAAGGTGTGCCCATTAACTGAAGTTCTGATTTTAATTTTTGAGTGATACATCCACATATTCACAATTCAAAAAGTGTAAACTACATGCTATGAAAAGTCTTCCTCCCAACCTGCCCTCCATCCATCCAGTTTCCCCTGCCAATGTTCTCAGTTTCTTAAGAATCCTACAGATAGTCGGTGCATGTACCGCCAAATATGCGTATTTCCTGCAGTGGTAGAATTCCATATACCCTGTTTGTATCTTGCCTTTTTCACTTTATGATATGTCTTGGCGCTCTTTCTATGGGTCCATAAAAGAGTGTCCTTGGTTTTTTGGTGTTTGGCTACATAGTATTCCATGGTGTCAATGTTTCATATGTCTAAGGAACATTTTATGGGAACCTTTTGTTCCTGTACGAAGTGAAGAGTATTGAGGAGTGATAGTTAGAGATGCCAAAAACCCGAGGCCTGCACTATCCAGTACAGTAACACCTGTCTCCATAAGGCTACTGAGCACTTAAAATGTGGCTAACCAGGCTGGGTGTGGTGGCTCACACCTGTATTCCCAGTACTTTGGGAGATAAAAGGGGGTGGATCACCTGAGGCCAGGAGTTAAAGACCAGCCTGGGCAACATGGTGAAACCCTGTCTCTACTAAAAATACAAAAATTAGCTGGGTGTGGTGGCGTGCACCTGTAGTCCCAGCTACTCGGGAGGCTGAGGCAGGAATTGCTTGAACCTAGGAGACGGAGGTTGCAGTGAGCCAATATCACACCATTGCACTCCAGCCTGGGGGACAGAGCAAAACTCTGTCTCAAAAAAAAAAAAAAGGCTAACTGAATGGAGTCATGCCCTAAAGGCAAAATAGGCACTGGGTTTTGAAGATTTAGTTCAAAAATATAAAATATCTTATTAATTAATAATTGTTATATTATTACAAGTTGGAATGATAATATTTGGAATATATTGGTTAAATAAAATATATCATTGAAATGAATTTCACATGTTCCTATTTCATTTGTTTTAAATGTGGCCAGTAGGAAATGCAAAACGCCCATGTGGCTTGCATTTCTGGCCAGCATATTTCTTTTCTGAGACGGAGTCTCACTCTGTCACCCAGGCTGGAGTGCAGTGGCTGCGATTTCAGCTCACTGCAACATTTGCCTCCCCAGTTCAAGCAATTTTCCTGCCTCAGCCTCTCGAGTAGCTGAGATTACAGGCACATGCCATCATGCCTGGCTAATTTTTGTATTTTTAGTAGAGACGGGGTTTCACCATCTTGGCCAGGCTGGTCTTGAACTCCTGACCTTGTGATCCACCTGCCTCAGCCTCCCAAAGTGCTGAGATTACAGGCATGAGCCACTGCGCCCGGCCTGTGGCCAGCATATTTCTATTGGACCATATTTCCCTAGAGACTTGGAGCCCAGGGATGAGCTGACTGTGGGAGGGGTTAAACAGAGCAGGAAGGGAGAAGACAGAAAACCAGGAAGGAGGCGGCAGCGGTGGCCTGGCCATGCTCAGCAGGCCGGCTGTTGGGAGGACTAGGTCCCCGCCTGCCTCACACTGCCACGCAGGGGGATCCCAGGACCAGCCCCCTTCCTTCTCAGCCTCATTTCCTCTTGTGTGCAAGACAATCAATAGGAGTAGAGGCTGTGGCCTTCAGGGCTTCTGCTGTGTCCACGCCTCTGTCCCTACGACATGGTGCACAGAGTCGGTGCTCGCCGGGTGAATGAAGGAAAGTAGAAAAAGAAATGGAAAATTCGAGGTTTTCTTTCCGGGAAAGCATTAGACTCCATCTAAGTACCAGGACTTAGAGGCTCCTAAAGCTCCTAGGCTGCCTCTCACTACGAAGCCAAGCTTCCCAATGCAGGAATGACTTGCCCAAGGTCACTTTGGGTGTGGATGGCAGAACCAGGGCCACCTATAGTTTTTTCACTCCTGTGATCAAAGAACCACCCAGAAAAAAATGCTGTTACAGATTGGCATCCACTCTTGGAAATGCCCACTCGAAGGGCCACATCAACCCTCCTCCCCTCCCACCCCCTTTAAGGGTACATTATGACATTTCTGTGCAGCCCGTCCTGCTCCCATGGGGCAGAAAGCCTGAGGAAGGATGGGCCCAACAGCAACCCAGCAACCCAGGGGTTCAGCATTTTCCAAGGCCCTTGCTCCACCCGAGAGCCCTAGGCAGAGGCCTGGTCATCTCCCTCCGCCTCCAGGCTCAAGGGCCCCTCTTTCACCCCAGGACAAGGACTAGCCGGCAGGCTGGACTCAGTGGTGGGCAGTCTCTAAATCACTCATGCAGAGGTGGGAGAGGCCGCGGCGGTGGGGGGGATTTTCATAGATTATACTGAAAGAATGACAATGGTGAGGGAAAGGGGCCGGTTCCCACAGTGTCCAGTCACTCCTGTGAGGGGCTGCGGGAGCCAGGCCTGGCCGCCTCTTTCTCTCTGGGCAGCAGCACACACAGTTTTTAATAATTAAGTAACTTTAATTGTCCTGGGAAAGCCGAGCTCGCCTTGGGG
Organism: Homo sapiens; assembly: GCF_000001405.40. Taxonomy (NCBI): domain Eukaryota; kingdom Metazoa; phylum Chordata; class Mammalia; order Primates; family Hominidae; genus Homo; species Homo sapiens. The sequence goes on along the minus strand of NC_000003.12, from coordinate 194,092,999 downwards.
CACAGTGCACAAACTCATAATTAATGTTACCAAGAGAGGTTAGCAAAGGAGAACTGAGAAATGATTCACTTTTTAAAAAGCGCCTCACTGTTAAGCCTTATTATCTGAAGTTTGGAACCTCATTTATCTGCTTTGAGGAAGAAGAAAAAAAAAAAAAACGACCCAAGACCCAGAAACAAATGCATGTGAAATTAAAACTCCATGCCTTTTAATGCAGTTAAAAAACATCAGAGAGGAAAATGTTGCCATTTATCGATTCCACCCTGGTGACTGAGGGAAGATTTCAGACAGAGGAATATAATTAATAAATAATAATAATACATTAATAAAAACTCAAGCTTTTTACTGCTATCTTGTTGCTTAGAAGTTATTTCATTTTAGGATTCTATAGAGTAACTTTTCCTCTTTAGTTCTTACGAGACATATACCAAACTCTGTGTAATTTTCAATGATTATTCATACGCAGTGACGCTAGGAAAGGGTCTTGCATGCAGGTGTTCAGTAAACATCTGATTAATTAATAAGCACATCAATAAGAGGGAAGAACCTCAAAAAGGAAAGAGTGTCCCAGCATAAACATGCGTGGTCAATATGAAGGCAAGCCCAGTCCGTCCTGGGAGACGTTTGCGATGGTGACAAAGGGAGGGTGGACAGAAAAATGGGGAATAAGGGCCTGGCACAGTGACTGTAATCCCAGCACTTTGGGAGGCCGAGGTGGGCAGATCACCTGAGGTCAGGCGTTCAAGACCAGCCTGGCCAACATGCTGAATGAAACCCTGCCTCTACAAAAAAAAAAAAAAAAAAAAAAAAAAAACCAGAAAAAAAAAAATAGCCAGGCATGGTGGTGCGTGCCGGTAATCCCTGCTACTCAGGAGGCTGAGGCAGGAAAATCACTTGAATCCAGGAGGCGGAGGTTGCAGTGAGCCAAGATCGTGCCATTGCACTCCAGCCTGGGTGACAGAGGAAGACTCTGTCTCAAAAAAAAAAAAAAAAAAAGAAAGAAAAAAAGAAAAATGGGGAATTAAAATATGGTGGTGGTGATATGGCTGGGAGGGGTGGTGGGAGGGAAAAGCCTTGAAACTTAGGAGAGGGTGTCAGAGCAAGAGAGTGAAACAAAGCAAAGAACTTGGGCCGAGTGTGATCCTCATGTATCATTAATAGCCCATAAATAGTATTACCTGATTGATTACCCTAAATTAGTGAGTGTGTTTCCTTAGGACGTCCTAGTGTCCCCACAGCACTGCCCTGTTCTTTCTTCCATTCAGACAGACGACAAATCTTTATATCCTAAATCATGAGAGTCCCAGTTTTTCCAAGCACCATAGTAGATTTTCCTCCATTTAGTCAACTCACATTGAGTGGATGCTGCTACGAGTAGTTCCAGATGCCAGTTGACATGGACATGGATGGAAACAGCTGGAATGCAGGCAGGACACTTTGGCTCTAAACCGAGGTACATAATTCCCTTCTTCTCTCTGAGCCTGTTTCCTGGTCTGTAAGATGGAAACGTGTGCATAGATGTGAACTCCTTGGGAGGTGAAAAATGATATTAGGAGTTCCTGAAGCAACTTTTCTAGGTGACTCATGGGATGGTGGAAGGACTCAGTCCTACCCAGAGGCTCTGTTCTCACCACAGGTCGACCAGATACAGCTCAGATGGCCCCTCCTCCCTGGGGTTGGAGTAGGAGCTGGGGAGCAGTTTGTGCCCTGAAGCCATCTGGAGGGTGGGTGAGCAATCAGGCCCTCTCCTGAGATCTTTGCTGTTCCCTGGGTGTGAGTTAATACCCAAGGAGAGGCTGGTGGGTAAATAATGAGGTGGTGGCTGATTGAGCTCAAGGTGTGATTCCTCTCAGGGGTCTTTATGTGTGAACAGACAACTCACAAAGAATGAAAGCTTTAAGACACGGAGGCATGAAGCATTTTCTTTCTGGGGCTGTCCGTTTGTGACCTCAGGCAAGCTTCGAAGCTGGGCCTCCATTGTCTGACACTAGGGGAAGGGGGAGTAGGGGGTACCAAGGGGCCTCTCCCAGAGCTTTGCCTGCGCAGAGGTTCCTGAGCACCTGGACACTCAGGCATGGAGATGCACTGGGGTGGAGGAGGGGTACAGGGAAACGGGGCTGGCCAGGCTCAGTGGCCACAAGTTAGAGGCACTCATGGAAGCTCGACTCAGGGCACGGGTTGGAAAATGCACTCTGATAATAACTCGCATGGCTAGTGCCAGCCCTTGCACTCCTTTGGAACACTAGGTGTTATGGAGTGTGTGTGTGTCCCTCCTTCACACAGTAGTGCACCATACGTACTGTCTCCATAAGTTGCTTTCTTGCTCTTAAAAACCATTTAAGAGCATTTTGGGAGGCTGAGGCAGGTGGATCACCTGAGGTCAGGAGTTCGAGACCAGCCTGGCCAACATGGCGAAACCCCATCTCTACTAAAAATACAAAAATTAGCTGGGCGTGGTGGAGCACGCCTGTAATCACAGCTACTCGGGAGGCTGAGGCAGAGAATAGCTTGAACCCGGGAAGCGGAGGTTGCAGTGAGCCAAGATCACGCCATTGCACTCCAGCCTGGGTGACAAGAGCAAAACTCCATCTCAAAAGAAAAAAAAAAAAGAAAGAAAACAAACAACAACAACAACAGCAATAAAAAGCGTATCCTGGAGACAGCTCCATATCAGAATGTAAAGTGGTAACAATCTTTTTTAGATGGATGGTTAGCATTTCATTTTATTTGACCACAATTTTCTAAAGTACTTGCTGCTGCTGGACGTCGGGTAGTTTTTACTACGTTGCCATTCACAGTCTAGCCTTTAACATTACCTGCATTACCTATTGATGTAATTTGGTGCAGTGAAAATTGCTGGGGACAAAAAAACTGAGATGAAATTCTATCCTAAATCTGTTTGAATTAGGTTTGACTCTAGGCAAGTGTCACTGCCTTTGTGGGCCTCAGTTTTAGCACCTGTCATATAGGGACATAAGACTCCATCTAGTACCGGGTGTCCCTCCCAGGATGTCTGTCTCTGACCCCTTGAGCCTCCCCGAACCCCAGAAGCAGCGGAGCAGCCCACAGAGGGTCAGCCCCAGCTGGGGCTGTGGGTGAGGTCAGTGGAGCTCGGTGGCTGGGTAAGCCTCTCCGTCGCAGATCTCGGTGATGCAATGTTGCACTCCAGCAAGTTTGGCCTTGCCCTCCCCTGGATCCAGCGTGACTCAGGGCCTGTAGCGTGGCTTCCCCCGCAGCAAATGAGCTGCAAGACACCTTTCTTGGCAATGGGCTTAACGAGGGCTCCCGGAATGTCTGATTACTCATCTGTTTTGCAACGGCAGCAAACTCCCAGTGAGAAGAGGCAGCTAGCGTGGCTTCCTTCCTGAATTAATGACTTAAGCATTATGAATGACTAATCAGTTCAGCCCCGAGCAGAACCGGGTGGTTAAGTTGGGGTTGGGGGTGGCAGTGAGGCAGATGCTGCTGGTGTGGGGTGTGCTTTCACCTCTGCTTGAATGCTTCTGGGCCTTGATGCTCTCCTTTTGGGGGTCAGAATTGGGGCCGGACGTCCCAAGACACTGACCTCCCCCTTCTCCTAAGGCCTGTCTACCTGCCACTCCTCACTGTCAGCTGATGGCAAGCTTCCCTTCCAGTCTTAGCTTGGGTCATGCAGAAGGAAATCTAAATGCTTATAGGGAAATCGCAGAATGAAACCCAGGGTGAGAGGGCCAAATGCATTTTGTATGCTATACTCTGCTGTGTACCTAAGAGGGATTTTTGAAATTAGTCTTATTTTATTTTAATTAATTAATTTATTCATTTTGGGACGGAGTTTCACTCTGTCTCCCAGGCTGGAGTGAAGTGACGCAATCTCGGCTCACTGCAACCTCCGCCTCCCAGGTTGAAGTGATTCTCCTGCCTCAGCCTCCTGAGTAGCTGGGACTGCAGGTGTGCGCCACCATGCCCTAATTTTTGTATTTTTAGTAGAGACGGGGTTTCACCATGTTAGCCAGGCTGGTTTCGATCTCCTGACCTCAGGCAATCCGCCCACCTCAGCTTCCCAAAGTGCTGGGATTACAGGCTTGAGCCACCCTGCCCAGCTGAAATTAGTCTTTTACTGGGAGAAAGGCATAAAGGTGGTGGGTAGCTTTCTTTTTTTGCCACACGTTTGGGATAAGAACTACAGATCAAGAACTTTAAGGAATTTTGCATCTCTTCTCTGGCTGGTTTCTTCGCCCCTCTTATCTCAGACAGCTTATTGCAGACTCTAGGATTAGTGGGGAGCAGGAGGGAATGTGTCCCCTTTAAGGCAAAGTCTCTGGTTTCACTTCCCAAACATCTGCCTCGCTCTTGGGGAGGTCCTCTCTGACTGGCTCTGAGCATATAAAGTTAATTTGTGTGGGGATTCCTGGAGAAAGGCCAACTAGAGTGAATTTTTGATGATTCTGTCTTAAGAGATGATTTCCACAAAGGCCAGGTCTATCCCCATCTCTTAGGTTGGGAAGCTGATGACCTTGTAAGCAACAAGGCCCTTCCGATGAGATGAACTTTGCTACCATTGTTGCAAAGAAAGTTTTCCTGCCTCCCTCCATTTCTTTTCTCAAGGTTCCCCTTTCGGGTCTGCCCCAGCCCGGCCCTCTGCTTTCCAGCAATCAGGCGACAATTCTTTGTGGTGCTTGAGAGCATGTCCAGATGATCACTGTGCAGTGCAAGTCTCACCTGGGCCTCACGCCGCTGGCCTCCCCTGGTCCCTATCCCAGAGGCCCTGACACAAGCTCCTTTGTTCTGGGCACTGGGTCCTGCCAGGCGTTCCCTCCTCTTGGCCCAGGCTCAGGTGGAGAGCTCTCCCCATGTCCCTAGCTCCTCAGAGAAGAGGGTCCTTTCCTGTTGGCTCCTTCCCCATGGCTCCACTTGGAAACTGCTCTCCTGATGGACACGCAGGATGTGCTGCCTCAGCCTGTGCCATTTTGGGCTTGGCCCACAGGAAGTTCTCTGAGCATCCAGGCTGTCCTGGACCACCTGTCTTCACCACCACGCACTGGGCCTTGCCTCTGGGGTTGGTATTGAGATGCTTTCATGGCTCCACCGTGGTCAGTCCACTCACACTCACCGTGGGCTCTCTGAATTTCCTGCGCTTCCCATCGTATCTCCTTTCCAGGACTTTGTGGGCTTACGTGCCCTCTCGAGGTTGAAGGGAATCGCCATTTAATACAGGGCTCTGGCCAACACAAACATTCAGTTGTTGAATGGATGCATGGGTGCATGGCTGTGATCTTGGGCATGCCCACATTGTCTTAAGAACTTTAAAATTGCCTTTTGCTACATCTGCCTGGACCAGCCCCTCCATCCTCAATCGCCTTCCTGGGCACAGGTTCGCTTTCTTTGGAACAATGGGAGCAAAGTTCATCTCATCAGAGGGCCCTTACTGCTTACAAGTTCATCAGCTTCCCAACCTGAGAGACGAGAATAGAGTCGGCCTTTGTGGAAATCATCTTTTAAGACAGAAACTTTAATGATTCAGAACAAGTCGCCCTAGTTGGCTTTTCTCCAGGAATTCTTTCATAAATTTACTTTTAATGCTCAGAGCAGATCAGAGAGGACCTCCCCAAGAGTGAGGCAGACCTTTGGGAAGCAGGCCTTCCCAAATATGAGGTAAAATGTATTTTTTCTCTTCCAAATTCAGAGTCTCTTAGCATCTGGATAAGCCTAAGTCCTAGTGTAAAATGCTCCAAGAGATAAACCCTGTGTTTCTCTCCTCTGCCGAGTGCCTCTCTGGGCCTTGGGCTTTTGCCCCTTTCCCCATTTACTATCCTCCAATCCACAGCCTAGGGGAGCACAGGCTCGGCTCTTAGTGCAGAAATCATGCCTTTTTAAGTAGAGCACCAACATGTCTATTTCTGGAGACTAGAGACAAAGCTAATGCACCGTCCACTTTAAGATCAACAATCTATTTGACTAAAGAGGATATTTTCTTTTCTGTTCTTTACCCTATCACCTTCCTCTGGGTGCTTTTCACACTAAGTGCCTGAAATCACAGGGCATGGGCAGTATTTTTCTCTTTAGAAATCCTTTTCAGGCAACTATGTCAAGAATGTTTTCCTACTTTGGGCTGGATGGGAGGGGGGCAGAAGAAAGAGGATTAATCCCCCAACATGGGTATTTCTCTGAAAACAGACATGCAAATGTTGGGCTTGTCAGACTCTAAAATGTTTTCTTTATTCTTGAGAATTACGGCATCCTGCCTGCTGAGCCTGGGAGGCCTGACAAACTGAGCACCGGCACCACGGTAGCAAAGCAGCAGAGTGTGGGAAAGGGAGGCAGAGGCACGCGGTGGGTAATCGGGACAGTGAGGGACAACCGCCTTCCACATCAAGCCACCCCTCCTTGGCACCGTTAGGTTGTAGCTTCCCTTCCAGGAACTGGAGATGGGGAACAGCGAACTGTCAGATACCAGTTCACAGACATGCTCATGATCACTCTGTAGGTTGGGGACCAGCTGGTATCACTTGGATCCTCGGGCCAGCTGGCTGAAGCTTATTCCTGCCAACTTGAGTATAACAATGGAGCCCTCGAGAGACTGTCTTGCATGGGATAGCCATCTGAGACTTCTGGCCGGGACTCTGTAGGGGTCTCCTCCACCAAGCGACTGGGATGGGTGAGGGGGTTGGATTTAGCAAGTGCTTCCCAAGAGCTGCTAAATAATTGCAAAGTTCCTCCCTGGGTCTTGCTATGGGGGCCTCCTAAGACCCGCTGTCCCTAGGCGATGAGTTCACAGCTTTGTGGGAGAGAGAGACAAGAGAACATGCAGCTAACAACCTGGGCTAACTGCAAAAAGAGAAGCGCAAACATTCTCCTCACCCTCCACCACCCCCGAATATGGTCAAAACATTTATACCAGGTGAGAGCATAGTATAAATATGTTACTGCATCTGCAGTGCTAGAGAAGAGCCATTTAATTTTTTTTTTTTTTTTTTTAGTTTTTGGTTTCTTACCCTTAACCCGAAAGGATGGAAACGGAACAGGAGGTGACCTGCCCTGCATGACTGAGGGTGCTTGCATTAGGCACAGGGTTTCACTGTGGGTGCAAGAGGAACCATGGAAGGGCTGCTCTCTGCCCCATCCCTGGATTATTGTTGTGAGGATCAAGTCGAATAGGGGTTATGCTTAGTTTTGTATGTTATAAATCAATAAGTAACTAAAACATAATATTATTTTCTTGATAATTGCAGGCTTGAGAGCTCAAAAGATGTTTTCAATTTATTGCGTACCTGTGTTCCCAGGCTATCTAAGGACTTCCCACATGTTAGACCCAACTAAAATCCAAGCTTGATGAGAGCAGGGAGTTAGCCTTCTGCCAGGAGTTAGCCTTGTGCCAGTCACATAGTGAGACTTCAATAATTTTTTTTTAATGGTAGAAAAAATGATTTCTAATCCTGACTGCCCCCTAGGGCATTAGCCTTGCTGTACAGATGGGAGTATGGAGGCTCAGAAAGGTTGAGTGACCTGCTCTAGGTCTCACCACTAGCTAGTCGGTGAGTTGGGGTAGGAGCTCAGTCCCTCTGTCTGTGAAGCTCAGGCTCTTCCCATGATGCCCAAGCTGACCTGGAGCTTTACTGAGCTTAGTTGTCCTTGACAGAGCAGGCTGCTGTGCCAGGATCATGTGGGATCCTAGGGACAGTTTCAGGGACAAGCAGGTTCTCCCTTCCTGGCTCCAAGGACAGTGTAAAAAGTCAGCCCTGATTAACCTTGTAAATCATGAGCTCTTCTTTTCAAAGAAAGGCAGGACAGTATCTGTGGCAGGCAGAATAATGGTAACTCAAAGACATCCACATCCTAATCCCTACAACCAATGAATATGTTATGTTATGTTATTGGCAAAAAGGAATTAAGGTTGCAGGAAGAATTAAGTTGGCTAATCAGCTGACCTCGAGATGGGGAAACTATCCTGGATTATTAAGGTGGCCCAGTGTAATCACAAGGGTCCTTATAATAAAAGAGGGAGGCAGAAGAGGCAGAGTGATGTAATGTGAGAAAGACTCAAGTGGTCATTGCTGGCTTTGAAGATAGAGAAAGGGGCCACAAACCAAGAAATGCAGGCAGCTTCTAGACGCTGGAAAAGGCAATAAAACAGATTCTCTCCTGGATCCTCCAGAAAGGAAATACCGCCTGGCCAATACCTTGATTTTAGCGCAGTGAGACCTGTATTGGACTTCTGACCCCAGTACTGTAGAATAATAATATACTAATATTGTTTGAAGCCACTGATTTTCTGGTAATTTCTTAGAGCAGCAATCAGAAACTAATACAGATTTTGGCAAGCAGCAGGCCTCAAGCAGGCTTAGCCTGTGCCCTGGACTCCAGGGAGAGACATGGTAGAAGCAGACACAACACTCCAAAGCTTTCTGGAAAGCTCCTCTTCAGACTGCCTCTTACTCCAGCCAGAATACAGAACCCAGGGGGTCACATGCTTTGAGCAGCTTCACAGATGTGCAGTGGCAGCACCTTAACCTGGGCCCACACCGCATACCTCTCACTTCCTGTCCTGGACCACAGCCTTGTGATACTGACACTTATCACTCTGCATCCTAGAACTGTGCAGGGTTATCCCCCACGGAGCTACCCTTGACCAACAGAGGACAGGAACCTATGGCTAAATGCTTCCCTCTTTCCACTGTCGGGTGGGCAGTTCTCAGATGCGTTCCACACGTTCTTTAGAAGTTCCCAAGGAATTGAGCACTAGTTTCTCCTGTGGAAGCTGCATTAGGAATGCATCTTTTTATTGGTTCTCCCCTCTTTCTGGTTTCACTCTTAAACTGTAACTCACTCCTGCTCCTTGGGGTCACCACCTGAATCAACACCACCTGTATGTGAACCTTTGCCTCCAGCCCTACTTTAGGCGGAAGCTGTGCTTGAATACAACAGCTGCTCTTCTAGTATTTGCCTGAAACTATATCCCCCCCACCGCCCCCCATCCATTCTCACATTGCTGTGGGGAGCTCACAAGGGGTTCTGGTGGCAGTGAGCCCTGGGGCTTGTGAAGAGCTGCACGTCCCTGAACGAGCTTCCGTCCTGAGGTCTTGGCTGAGGGCTCAGAGGAGACTTGCTGGTCTAGTTCAAGATGGTTGGATAAGATCCCAAGGGGTAGTTTTGAGGCTCATGGGAACATCAAGAGTCCTGGTTGCTTAGTCACCCAAGTCCCCCGACTCTGATGTGCCTCTCTCAGAGCACACCCATACTTCTCTCAGAGCAGTGTGCCTATCATTCAGAACAGATGCTTTCTGATGAACTTGATTGCATCATTAGCAGCCAGGCTACAAAATGGGTGATTTGAGAGCTGCTGGGCAGCAGGGAGCCTCCTGGCCCTTGGCTGGGCAGCAGGGAGCCTCCTGGCCCTTGGCTGGGCAGCAGGGAGCCTCCTGGCCCTTGGCTGGGAAGCAGGGAGCCTCCTGGCCCTTGGCTGGGCAGCTGTTCCCAGGACTGGCTGAACATGCCTGTGTGGTGGGCTCTTACCCTGCCCGCTCCCTGGGCCGGCCTCTTGAATCCTGAGGCTTTCTCACCAGCCGTGCCCAGAACAGATGGGAACAGAGCTCTTGGGCATCTCCAGCTGATGTGGATTTCACAGCGGGCGGAAGAGAGTGAGGGGAGCAGACAGCCTAGCCCTTCCCACAGCCACTTGGGAGGCCACACTGGTTGTCCAGCTGTCCACCCTCACTCCTTGTGAAAGGGGTAGGACTGGGGGATCTATTGCAGGTGGCAGGGAAAAGGACTAGAAATACAAAATGTTCCAGTTCTTACAGTTTTTAAACCTGAGCTCCACGGAGCTTGGGGGTGGTGGGGTGGGCGCAGGACGAGGTAGCGGGGACCGTTAGCATTAGCGCTTTGGCCAGAGCAGAGCTTCTTCCCAGCTTCATTGTACAGCAATGCTGCTGTGTAAAAGGCTGGACTCGTCACTATCCCCAGACACCTCCTCTCCTTCCCCCCACTTCCTGCCCGCCGGCCTCTGCTCTTTGCTCTCATCCCAGTCTCCTTACTGCACAGGCACATCCGCCCGATCCCTCTAGGCCTGGCTCAGATGCTCCACTTTCTCCAGGAAGCTGTCCCCTCCTGCTTCCTCCCCTACTAATTTTAGCAGTGACCCATCCCTTTTCTCCGCAGTTTCCAAGGGCTCCATCTGCATTGCTCAAGTGGAACAGATCACTTTATGTCTGGAGTTATAATTACTTCTGTACTTGGTCATTTCTCACACTGTGTTGGTTCCTCCTTAGAGCAGAGACGGACTCTTTCTTGGTCCCATAGTTCCCATGGGAAGTACTTGGTAAAATATCTTTTTTGGTTTTTTAAAAAATCTTTAATGAGTGCATGTGAAAAAGCTGATGTCAAAAGCTGCTGCTTTCAAAGATCCTAGTTTAGTTAGCTCAGGCTGTTGTAACAAAATATCCTAGCTTAAACAGCAAACATTTATTTCTGAAGGTTCTGGAGGCAAGAAAGTCCCAGATCAAGGTGCTAATTTGGTGTTTGAGGAGGGGTCTCTTTCTGGTTTGCAGAAAGCTGCCTTCTCACTGTATCCTCACATAGCAGAGAGATATGGTCTCTTCCTCGTCTTATAGGAACACTCATCCTATCACGGGAGCTCTAGCCTCACGAACTCATTTAAACCTAGCTACCTCCCAAAGGCCCCGCCTGCAAATGCCATCACACTGGGGATTAGGCTTCAACATATGAGGGGGACATAAACATTCAGTCCATAGGAGACCCCATCTTATGATCATAACAACCTCTGAATTAAATGTTGGGGATTTGGTTCAAAACAACCCTCTTTTGAGCACCTGCTCTGTGACTGGCATTCAGCTGGGAATTGCAGGGAGGGAGGTATTCAGTGATAGGTAAAGCCAGTCTCTGTCCCCTGGGAGCTCACAGTCTAGCAAAGCTGCTGTGCACAAGCCTTGTCATCAGTGCTAGGGTGGGGGCTACTCAGGGGCTTGCATGCCAGCGTGCACTGGAGGGGGAGACGCATCCCTGTGGGGGCATGAGCGGCTACGTCGGGGTAGGCTCTGCCACCAACTCTGGGCAGGTGCTAATAGACTTTGAAAATACAGTCCTGGGTGGTCTCCAAGTGACAGTTAAGAGGCCTCTTCCTCCTTTTAGTTGGTTTATCTATTATCTTATTTAGATTTTTCAAGGCTTTATCAAGTCACCAAATACTTTAGGTTTTACACATTTTTTTAGGTGAAGAATTTAGAGCTATGCTGTTTAACACGGTGGCAACCAGACACATGCAGCCGTTTAAATTTGTTTAAATTAATTAGAGTGTAATAAAATGAATTCAATTCTTCAGCGGCAGTAACCATAGCCATATTCCAAGTGCCCTGTAGCCACCTAGCAACCCTAGGGCTGGTAATACTTGCCCTTTTGTCCCTCAAGCCACTGTGAGAACAAATGAACGGGTTTTAAGCTAGCCAGAAGAAAAAGTGGCCAAGAGGCCAAGGTAATAATGATCTTTTTGTACCTAGGGAAAGCCTATCCTTACCCAGGATGGGTCACACTAACTGGTGCCTCTTCCTCATGTAGAGGTTGCAAAGGAAGCCCAGGTTTTTGGGAGCCAGCTTCCTGGGTCCAGCCCGATGCTATAAAACACAGCACCTATCCAATGAGCGAGAGAGAACACCAAGATAAGCTTTGCCTTAGTTATAAACATATATTGTGATAGTAAATTTATATTGTACTTTTCCTCTAGATAAGTGGAATTCCCCTTTCCCATTTACTAGTATCTTTATCCTTCTGATATTCCAAGAGTGAGTGACAGGGGCCTCTTTGCTGTGACAGCCAATGCAACGTACAGGGTGTTCTGCACATGTGCCACGTGCATATAACACCCCTGCTGTACCATGTGGAGAATGTCACTCATCTCAGGGTATTGGAGTGCCACACTGACAGTCACTATATACACCAGCCCCCATGCTGAGGGCCAGGTGGCAGACCCAGGAGGAAGACCTCAGTGTGTGACATCATCCATTCCTTCCCTCAAACTTTATTGGTGTGTACACCCTGTCACTGTCCTAGTAGTAAGCATAGAGAGATGATAGAACTGTGTTCTTGCCCTCCAGGAGTAAAATTTGTTACCAAGGACTCAGGAAAGGGACTGGTTTGCTGAAATAAAACTCTCAGGTTTATGCGAAAGTGATTCACTGAGGCACCCCGTGAGAACAAGCTTCCTTCTCCCTGCTGTATCATTAAAGTCAGATGTTGGCTTAATAAACATTCACCGAGCACCTCTTGTGTGGGGCCCAGGCTTGCTGCTGGCCCTGGGAGGGATGTCGGGATAATCAGTGAGGGCTGTGGGCCAGGGAGTTCCCAGTCCATGGCGGACATGTGGCTTGCATTCATTTGCAAAGCAGACTGCGCTCAACTCTCTGAGTTGAGCCCCACAGACAAGTGCCACAGGGAAAGGATGCAGACTCGCCAAAGAACCATCAGGGTCAGAGCTGGCAAAGTGCCTTTAGAGGTTCCCTCTCTCCAGTGGGTTGGTCCGACCTTCTCTGAGTGGCCTTGGTTGCTGGTATTTCATAGGCATGGGTGGGGAGGCCACTTCTGCTCACCTGGAACTCTATGTTCCTCTGTTTTCTGGGTAGGGTCAGAAGAAAAAACTGTTTCTGATGGTCTCAGTGAATGCCAGCCCTGGAAAAGTCTCCAGAGCGGGTTTAGTCCAATTTCCCTCATTTAGGGAAACTGAGGCCCTTGGAAGGAAGGCGGCCCCCTTTAAAGCCCCATGCAGCCAAGCATTGACTCAGCCTGTCATGTAGACCCCAGGCTTTGCATTCATGTCCTTAAGGTATCCGAAGAAGAACAGAGAGGGCGGGGTGCCCTGCTGCCTACACCACATTCACAGAGATAATCTGTCAAGGGAAGGAAGAAAAAAACTCAACGGCGAACAAGCCGTCTATTCTTGTCTGCGCCATTTTCCCATGTCAGGGGCAGACTGTACTGAAAAATTTAGGTTTCTCCTTTCATGTTTCCTTTCACTGCACTCTGGACAAAATGCCTTTCTTCTCCCGCTTTTCTTTGGCAGGATCCTGACCACCGCTGTAGAAAAAGAATCTTTTAAGAACATATATATCTATCTATCGATATACATTCAGCCCCTGACAGTGACACGGAACTGTAGTGCCTCTTAATTACCCAGGAAGTGACAGGGTCAAGAGGTGTCTGAAAGCTGCCTTGTGGTTCTGGGCATTGATTTCTCACCATTGTCGCCGCTTCGCAGGCTGGAGTGGGAGCCACGGTCGCCTTGTTTTTGTCCACTGTTTGGATTTCTTCCTTTCTTCCTCCCTCACGCTCTCTCTCTCTCTCTTTTTAATTTGAAAAGAAACTTCTGGCGTTTTGGCTATTGATTGGAAATTCATAAAAGCCGGACACATTTTGGGTTGGCTGACCAGTCTTAATTGCTGCTTGGGTACTGGGGGAAGAGGCCCAGTTCTTGCAGAGACGCCCTCCCACGTGCCCCCATTCTCTGGCTACTTTTCTGCTTTCTTCCTACAATCTGTGAATTTCTGAGGGGAGAGTAACAATCTAAAAATTGTTTTAGTGCCCCTGAGTAGTCACTGGCTGCATTTATGATGATAGATAAGTTGTGCCCTTTGTTATTCAGAGTTTTGAGACAGATACTAGGTTTTTTTTTGCTTTTTCTTTTTCTTTTTTTGAGACGGAGTTTTACTCTTGTTGCCCAGGCTGGAGTGCAATGGCACGATCTCGGCTCACTACAACCTCCGCCTCCCAGGTTCAAGTGATTCTCCTGCCTCAGCCTCCCGAGTAGCTGGGATTTCAGGTGCCCACCAGCATGTCTGGCTAATTTTTGTATTTTTGGTAGAGACGGGGTTTCACCATGTTGGCCAGCCTGGTCTCAAACTCCTGACTTCAGGTGATCCACCCGCCTTGGCCTCCCAAAGTGCTGGGATTACAGGTGTGAGCCACTGTGCCTGGGCCGATAATGGTATTTTTTAAAGGAGTAAGCTAAGGTTTTGAACCATGGTCATCAAAAAATTATAATAGACAAACAGAACTGTAGGTATTTCTGGAAACCTTGGATCAAAGAAATTTTAGAAATTTCTGGAAAGTGTTGTTGAGTTGAATTTTGGGATAGAGAAGTCAGAGCCAGGGTGTCAGATAAATTAGTCGTGCACAGAGGTTTCGTGGGCATTTTGTTCTTCCATAAAAACTGTGGAAAGTAGTTATATCAGCAGAGCAGAGAAAGGGTTAATTATCTGTCTGGTCCTAGAGGAGTTTTTCAAGCTGTTGCCACGTCCACTAGGACATTAGAAGTTTTGCTAAGAAGGGAAGTCAGAGCCAACACTACAAAAATCTTCAATTCTTCTTTTCCCAAATCAGAGCAGCGCTAACTGTGGAAATACAATTCTAGAATGTTCCAGAGGCCCTTGGACGGAGTCAGGGGCATAGCAGTTTTCTCTTCATTGTACAAATGAGACCTTGGAAAGCGAAGGTCTCATATGTAATGATGTAAAACAAAGAAAGAATCTATAATGCAGAAATCTTACCTCTCTCCAGAGAAGTCTTGGATTTTCTTCCCAAACTTCCCTGCTTTTCATCAAAGTTTGAAACATATCTGTAATGGATAAGGCAGCTCTTTGACTTTAAGTTTTAAGGTGTCAAGGACCGAACAAGGAATTGAGAGTCAAAACCCAGAGTTTTAATCTCCCTCTACCTCTGACCTTGGGCAAGCCACGTTCCCTCTCCAGACCTTGCTTTCCTCTTCTGAAACATGAGAAGTTGGACTGGTTGACCTTCCACTCAGCTGGGAACCAAAACACAGAAAGAAGAAATATATTGACGCCCACTTTTGAATGCTAGTAAAAACTCATCAGGCTTCACCTTGGGAACAATATTAAAATGTATTTAGCTCTTCGTTATCCATAAACATAGACTGCACATGATTTAGGATCCAGCCTGAATTAAATATTCCCAAGTGCCTGTCTCCTGCATCAGACATAGATTGGGGATGGATAGAAAAGAAACAAAAACCGTTGAATAAACATTGAACAAGTAAATATATTAACACGATGCTGAAACTCCAAGTATGAGTATGTCTTATATAATAGCTCTAGAAAATGTTGCCTGCCTGTTATCTATCTATTCACTCAACAATTCATATACATTTCATACATATGTGGCTGAGTCTATCCATCCATTCATCCCTCCATCCCTCCACCCATTCATCCATCCCTCCATCCCTCCATTCCTCCAACCATTCACCCATCCCTCCCTCCATCCATCTACCCATCAACTCAACAACTTCCCAGACTGTTTATGTACAAGGGAGGGAGACAGGGATGGTGCCACAACAAAGAGGCTTAGAAAAGTGGCATAGGGCTCAGAGGAGACATGGTGAAGGCTTCATGGAGGAGCTGGCCGGCCTTTGAGCTGAGTTCTGAAGGGGGGATACTGTGTGAAGGTTAAGGGGATATAGGGGAGACAACAGGAGCAATGCACAGAGACAAGAAAGTACTGTTTCCAGTTCCCCAGTACTGTTGCCTGGGGAACACCAGAGAGTCAAACAAGAAGTTCAGATCGGGTGTGGTGGCTCATGCCTGTAATTCTGGCACTTTGGAAGGCTGAGGCAGGAGTTTGAGACCAGCCTGGGCAAAATAATACAACCCTGTCTCTACAAAAAAATAAAAATAAAAAATTAGCCAGGTGTGGTGGCATGCTCCTGTAGTCCTAGCTACCCATGAGCTCTGAGGTGGGAGAATCATGTGAGCCCAGGAGGTCCGGGCTACAGTGAGCTATGATGGCACCACTGCACTCCAGCCTGGGCAGCAGTGTGAGACCCTGCCTCAAATAAGAAGACTGAAGGCACATGAACTCTGAGGAGCAAGGCAATTAAGGAGAGTAGCTCGAAATATTTTGGAGGGCCTTGGAAGCAGCAATTTTTCCAGCAGAAAGTGTGAAGGAGAATGAAGTTACGGGGTGGGAGGGGTGGGGAGCAGCTGGAGAATGACTGGCACATGTTGTTACGGGAAAGTGTGTGTGAATAAAATACGGAAAAGCTAAAGGAAACTCTGTGTATTATGTGAAGTTTTATAAGTGCCTCACACTTGGTCTCCAAGAGTTCCACAAGTAATTCTTTATAAAACTTTGAAAAGTCAAGGAGACTTTATGTTCATAAGAGACTAATTAAAGGGTGGGAGGTAGAAGGGTGTGAAAGGAATTTTACTGTTTTTGTGTGAGATAACAGCCTTTCGACCTTCCTGCACCTGGCCCTCTGTGCTATTTTTCTAGAATTGCAGAGATGGAAACGTGAGTAGGTGGAGTCCGCTGCAGTGCCCTGGGCCAGCTGGCCTTCCACCTGGGAAAGCACCGAGCTGACCGAAGAGCAGAGACCCAGGCTGGGATCCTGGCTTTGCTCCTCATTCCGTGCAGGACTTGGGAGAACTGCACCCCCTCTTTAGAATGGCCTGAAAATGCTTATAGTAACGATTAATTACAATAAAATATAAAAAGAGAAAACTAGCCATAAACTTGAAATCCCTCAAACTGGCTGATATTTTCACAGATTCTCATTTTATCCCTAAAATTGACTGCTGAGAATTATTTCCCTTATTTTGCAAATTTAAAAAAAGTGAGGCTCAGAGAGTGAGTAAGTGAAAGTCAACGCACGGGGTAACCTTTGACAAGTTACTAACCAATTTTTGTGCTTGAGTGACTAGCAGAACTCTTGGAATCAGGGGTTCCTGACTGCCCTGGGCTATTAAATCTTTAGCACATGGCTCTCTAAGAGTATTTAGGTAGAAGAGGGATGGAAGGTTGTGGATGAGGGGAGAAGGAGTGGAGGAAAACAGGAGAAACTGAAGATAACTGGGGATGGAGTAACTTTGCAAGTTTCTCAAAAATGGCTTCCTCAACAATGAAGGAGGGGATGGAGGAATGACGAGTGGGCTGTGGGCAGGACCAGGCCAGGCTGACCTCAGTGCCCTCTGCCGGCTCAGCCCATACTCTGTCCTGTGGCTGGAGACCTGGTAACCACAGTGGCCAACAAAGCAAATAATGCTTTGTTGATTTTGCTAAAAGAAAGCAAGAGGAACACAGCTTACTCCCTGAACCCATGTGCTGAGGCAGTTGTTTTGCAGCCCCCAAGCTGATCTGCGATCCTCTGCTTCTAAGCTGTCTTGAATATCGAAGTAAAGGGAAATCCAGGCTTTTTAGGTGTGATGCCTTTTTCTTTTACACGCATAATTTATATACAGTGAAATGCTCCGATTGTAAAGATTCCATTTTGATCAAGGCATATTAGGGTCCAGAACATTTCTATCACCCCAGAAAGTCCTTCCTTCCCAGTCAATGCCCACCATCACCCAGCAACCGTGATCTGGTTTCTATCACTATTGGTTAGTTTCAGCTATTCCAGATTTCATATAAAGGCAAACAGGATGCACTTCTCATGTTTGCCTTCCTTCACACAGCTTGGTATTTTTGAGATTCATCTGAGTTGCTGCATGTCTCAGTAGATCATTCATTCCTGTTGCTAAGTAGTATCCCATTGTGCAAATATAGTGCAAATATATCTGTTCTCTTGTGATGGTCACCTAGGTTGTTTCCAGTTTGGAGCTACAAGTAAAGTTGCTACAAGCATTCTTGCAGGAGACGTTTTGTGGACTTGTGCTTCCATTTATCTTAGGTAAATGCCTATGACTCAGTAGGTTGCTAGGTCGTGGAGTAGATATAGTGGTGTGCTGGAGTGGACCGGGACAAGTGAGCAAGAGCCACTCGTGGTCATCTCTTCCCAATGCTGCCTTCAGTGTCGTCATGTGGGTAGCTTGAAATCGGCCATGGTAGAAGATTTATACCAGGGAAATCAGAAAATGCTACAAATCAGGCTTTGTAGCATTTGTTTTTCTTCTGGAGAGCCCATTAGTTTTTGATTGTATTTTATTTTTTAGTCAGGGTTTCCCTCTGTCACCTGGGCTAGAGTACAGTGGCACAATCACAGCTCATGGCAGCCTCAACTTCCCTGTGGAGAGGTCATTGTTAAAAATTTACCAGTATCCCACTGGGTCAGTATATATTCACCTTTTAAAGAAACTCTCAGTTTTCTAAAGTGGCTGTACCATTTAACATTCTTATTAGTGAGGTACGAGAGTTCCAGTTCTCTCCAACACCTGGCGTTGTCAGTTTTTAATTCTAGCCATTCTAGCAGGTATGTAGGGGTAGCTCATAATTTTAATTTGCATTCTCTGGTGACTGATGATGTTGAGTGCTTTCACACGTGCTTATTGTGGTTATTTGTGTATCTTCTTTTGTAAAGTGTCTTTTCAGTCTTTGGTCCTTAAAAAAACTAGATTGTCTTCTATTGTTGAGTGACAGAAGTTCTTTATATGTTCTATATGTATGTCCTTTGTCAGATATATGTTTTGTGAATATTTTCTCCTGGTTTGTGGTTTATCTGTTTGTTTTCTTGATGGTGTATGTTTTGCAAGCAGACATTTTACATTTTGATAACATAAAATTCTCAATTTTTAATTTATGGTTTATATTTTCTGTGTCCTTTCTAAGTTATCATATTGTGTCTCCTCTACCTGCAGTGGCCTTCCCCATTACCTTCATCTGGAGAACTAGTCATTCTCCAAGGGTGCCATAGTTTCAATGTGTTCCCCAGAAAGCACGTGTTGGAAACTAAATCCCAAAGCCAACAGTGTTGGGAAGTGGGGCCTAATGAGAGGTAATTAGGCCATGAAGGTGGAGTGAATGGATTAATGCTATTATCACTGGAGTAGGTTTGTTGTAAACGGTGAAGTTCAGCCCCCTTTTATCCTCTCTCTCTCTCTCTCTCTCCTCCTCTCTTTGCCCTTCTGCCATGGGATGATGCAGCAAGAGGGCCCTCAGCAGATGTCAGCTCCTGGATCTTGGACTTCCCAGCCTCTAGAACTATGAGCCAATAAATTCCTACTTATTAAATTATCCAAAGCAGGCTGGGTGTAGTGGCTCACTCCTGTAATCCCAGCACTTTGGGAGGCCAAGGTGGGTGCATCACCTGAGGTCAGGAGTTCCAGACCAGCCTGGCCAACATGGTGAAACCCCCTCTCTACTAAAAATACAAATATTAGCTAGGTGTGGTGGTGTGTGCCTGTAATCCCAGCTACTTGGGAGGCTGAGGCAGGAGAATCGCTTGAACCCAGGAAGTGGATATTGCAGTGAGCCAAGATCGCACCATTGCACTCCACTCCAGCCTGGGCAACAGAGTGACTCCATCTCAAAAAAAAAAAATTATCTAAAGCAGGGCATGGTGTTGCATGCCTGTGGTTCCAGGCTCAGGAGTTTGAGGCTGTGGTGAGCTATGACTGTGCTTGTGAATGGCCACTGCACTCCAGCCTGGGCAGCACAATTAGAATCTGTCATTAAAAATAAGTAAATATTTTTTCTGAAAGATTTTATGTATAAATAAATAAATAAAATAGATAAATAGATAGATGCCAAGTCTGGGGTGTTCTGTTATAAGAGCACAACATGAATTAAGATAAAGACTCAACATAAATGTCACCTGTTTAGACAACCCTTCCTCCAGGTGCATTCTCACCTGTATACTGCCACTTAGTTTATACATCTCTTAGCAGCCTACGATCTAATTGTGTCTTTATGAATCTTTCCAATCTGAGTGATTGGGAGCCCCAAGTGGGGCGTATGGGTCTTCTGGATTGTTTTCTCCTTTTTACCTCCTCTGGGTCCTTCTGTTTTCCTAGTCCCCTCTCTCATCTCCATCAGCACGCACGTTAGGTGCCTGGCAATAGTAGGTTCACAGTGAATGCTAATCAACTGAGTTACCTTGAATGTGGCCAGCTGGTCATGAATCTCCAGGGCTGACATCTTTGTCTTTTGATTATGTTGTAATGATTGGAGAACATATTGATTATGGAGTCAGAGGGTGGAGGTAGTTTACTTCACAGACCAAAAGTGAGTTTGAAAAGTTCTACCAGGTTCTACCAAAGTCAGAGCCATTGAGGATCAAGTGAGATTCTCTTAATACTTGGAGAAGGTAAAGGTCGGGCAGGTCTGCATGTGTGCATGTGCTATGAGGAGGTGAGAGGAGAGGGTGTGTATGCGGAATGTAATCTGAATTACATCTAAACTTTGAGACCTGGTTGACAAAGCACTGGTTGGTGGTTAGGCAAACATGGGGTCAAGTACATTTATAGCTCTGTGACCTTAGGCAAGTGATTTCACCTCTTTAAATGTCAGTACTTTTAGCTATAAGCCAGGGCAATAATACCACCCCTCTCATTAGGGTGTTGTGAGAATGAAAGGCAATGTATGTAAGGCAGTTCTGGAAACATCACAGTGTTTCCAGAGCCCTTCCTGCGCCCTGGGGTCTGGGCAGCTTCTTTGTGGGATGATTTGCCGGTTCCTCGGTTTGTGGGATTTGGAGTGAAGGGTCCCTGTTTCAGTGTAGTCTCTACCCTGGGCAGTTAGATGCAGTAAGGGAGCTGGAGGTCCAGAGGAGTCACACAGAGGCCCAAGGGAAGCAGAATACAGGAATGGTGCCATCTCATAGGAACAGATCTCCACCCCAGAATCGGAAGTTCTATTTTTTTTTAAAGCAGTTTTCAAATTGTTTTTGTTTCTGTCAAATGGTTGCCAGAATAGTCTTTGATCAAGGTTTCCACTGCTCATCAGTAAACAGAGAGTTGTGGGAAGGAGTCCCGCCAGAGATTGGCAAACGCCCTCATCACCGACTCAGAGGCAAATGGCTGATCTCTGACCACAGGTGATGCTCACTCACACCAGGCTCTGGGCTGGAGTCGAGGCATAAGCACTGCCTTGACTCCCGCCCGGCCTACCATGTCCAATGGTGGGAGGGGAGATGACGGGGATGTCCCCGCTTCCCCATTCCCCATCTCTTTGGCGGTTCCTATCTGAATCTAGAAGTGCAAAGCCACCCCTAGCAAGCTACTTCTCCTAGTCGCTTTCCTCCTTGTAAACTGGGGGTGCCAACATCCCCCCCTTACTTCAGGGGCCTTTCAAGAATGTACAGAGTGGCTGGGCGCGGTGACTCATGCCTGTAATCCCAGCACTTTGGGAGGCTGAGGTAGGCGAATCACCTGACAGGGTCAGGAGTTCTAGCCCAGCTTGGCCAACATGGCGAAACCCCGTCTCTACTAAAAATACAAAAATTAGCCGGGCGTGGTGGTGGGAGCCTGGCACGAGAATCGCTTGAACCTGGGAGGCAGAGGTTGCAGTGATCACGCCACTGCACTCCAGCCTGGGCGACAGAGAGACTCTGTCTCAAAGAAACACCACCAAAGAATGTACGGAGTGGGAGTCAGGAGCTTTGGAAAGCGTATTGGCCAGTTGTTGCATAGGTGCGTTACGTGAGCGAGCCAAGAAGGGCTCCCTACAGCATGTGTGCGCGCGTCCATTCATTTGTTCGTTCATTCGTTCATTCATTCAGTAATTCATTCATGCATTCGACATTTATTCAGCACCTGGGTGAGACACACACTGAGATTCAATAAACTGCTGATCAAAGTTGTGTCTAGACGTCCAAGGGTTAAGCCGCCGGCGCGGGCCCCTCTGCGTCCCCCTCCGCCCCCGCCGGGCGTGGGGAAGGCGGGAAGGCGGCGCGGCGGGTGCCAAAGTCGGAACCTGCTCGTCGGCAGCTCCCGGCGCTGCCTTGACTCGCAGCCAGGCCTGGCGCGGCCGCCGGCTGTGGAATGTGTGAGCGCCATGTGTCACCGCCCCAGACTGTGGGAAAACGCTGCTCCGCTCACCTCCCAGCAGCTGCCCCGCGCCCGCCCGGGCGGGAGCCGGGAAACAGGAGCCGCCTGCCGCGGAGGCCGCCCGGGGGCACTTCCGAGCGCGCGCCGCCTGCCCGGCCGCCCCCGCGCCCGCCGCGTCTCCCCGCCCACACCCCGCTGCCACCCGGCCCCGGGCGCCACCCGCGGAGCAGGCGGCGGGAGGGACAGCCCGGCACGGCCCCTTTCCTGCCCTTCACACCCCTTCTGCTTCTCAGGGGACGCTGGTCCACAGACCGAGGCCCCGTTGCGCGCGGCCGCCTTCGGAGCGCCGCCCTCCTCCCGAAACCGGCC
The DNA here is from genome assembly GCF_000001405.40 of Homo sapiens. Taxonomy (NCBI): domain Eukaryota; kingdom Metazoa; phylum Chordata; class Mammalia; order Primates; family Hominidae; genus Homo; species Homo sapiens. The sequence continues at coordinate 194,070,929 of NC_000003.12, read as the reverse complement.
GGGGCGAGTGGCTGCAAGAAGCTGCGGTTTGGCCCGCGGGAGAGGGGGGCTTCCCCGCTGGGGTTGTCTGACGCGAACGCCTTCCTGGCCCCAGCCAGGCGCCCTGAGGTCAGGCCCAGTGGTGAGAGAGCTCTGAACGGGAGGCCCCACGCTGCCTGCTCCCCCAAATCAGAAACAGCCTCCCCCACCGGGGCGAGGCAAGGGATCTGCACCACCCCACGCGCTCCCGCCTGCACGGTAGCCTAGAGCCTGGTGTGAGCGGGAATCACATGTGCTCACACATCACCCAGGCAAGGTCTTTGAAGCCCAGCCATGCGGGCAGACGTATTCAAGGTCACCCTGCTGGGTGGCGGCAGAGCTCCTGTTGGAATCCACGCTCAGAGGACCTTCTGCCGAGCCCCAGCCCCAAAGGCATGGCGCCCTTTCTCTGCAGCATGGTGCCCCTCGTCGAGTTCCTGCCCCATAGAGAAGTTGGGAATGGGGCAGACGGGGGTGGGGGGAAATCATGGGTCCTGGGACCCCGACAGCTTTGCCTAAACTCAGCCTCATGCTGCGAGACGTCCCAGTCCGTCACCTCAGCCTGATTTTCTGGGGGTGCCCCACCTGACAGGCCTGGTAGTGAAGCCCCCATTGTATCCAGCCCTCTACGAGCACCTGGCATTTGTGTGCCTTGTTCCGGCTTGCCACCTCCTCTGTGGAAGTCTTCCCAGATTTGCCCAATCATTGCTTCCCGGTTCTCCGGCGGCCTTTGACAAACGCCTGTTTATGACGTTTGTGGCCCCCTGTAACTCATGGCCTACCTGTCCTCTCCTCCCTTCCGGAGTTTCCTGAGGGCAGAGACTGTGTTGCCCTCCTTTTTGATTTCCACACAAATGATTATTTGAGAACTCTGCTTATGGCAGCTGCTCTGTTTGTTGGCTGAATGTTATGCAATTTACCACTGGCTAGGAATCTCACCAGATGTGTGACCTTGGGCAAGTTGCTTAATCTAAGCTTCGGTTTTCTCATCTGTAAAATGGAGATCAACTGATACTGCGTCTAAAGTGACTTGTATAGTGGCTGGCACAAAGCAGATGCTGTGTGTGTGTATGAATGATTGCTAAAATACCATAGACTGGTGGCTTAAACAATAGTCATTTATTTTCTCCTGGCTCTGGAGGCTGGGAGATCCAAGATCAAGATGATGGCGAATTAGGTTGTTAGTGAGGGTGCTCTTCCTGGCTTGCAGAAGGCTGTCTGCTCACTGTGTCGTCATGTGACCACAGAGAGAGAGCAAGTCTGTTCTTATGAAGACACCAATCCTATCAGATTAGGGCCCCACCCTTATGATCTCAGTTAACCTTAATTACTTCTATAAAGGCCAGGTCTCCAAATACAGTCACACGGGGAGCTAGGGCTTCAACCTATGGCTTTTGGGGGATACAGTTCAGTCCATAGCAGTGGGGAAAGGATGTGACTCAGTCTAGAGAGACTCAAGGAGGGAATGCTTAGATAGGAGCATGGAGGGCGTGCCTGGTGAAGGGAACAGTATGGCACAGCTTCAGAGGCAAGGGTGAGCCAGCAGCAAGGGGCTGGCTATGGCCGGTACAAAAAGCATGTGCTCGTGGGAAATAGGTAAGAGAAGCTTGGGGGTATGGCCAGAGTATGGAGGACTCTGAATGCTGGGTGTGTTCGAAGGGTTTTGAATGCTGAGTTTTTACTTGATGTGCCTGGAAGTAGTTGCTGAAGGCGGTTTGGGAGTGGAGGAATACATCCTTTAAAAAAAATTTTAAATTTATTTTAATTTTTAATTTTTGGGGGTACATAGTAGGTGGTACATATTTATGGGGTACATAAGGTATTTTGATACAGGCATGCAATGCATAATGACCACATCAGGGTGAATGGAGTATCCGTCACATCAAGCATTTAGCCTTTGTGTTACAAACAATCCAATTATACTCTTTCAGTTATTTTTAAGTGTATGATTCAATTATTTTTACGAGGCTGGGCTTGGTGGCTCAGCCGTGTAATCCCAGCACTTTAGGAGGCCGAGGTGGGCGAATCACCTGAGGTCGGGAGTTCGAGACCAGCTTGACCAACATGGAGAAACCCTGTCTCTACTAAAAATACAGAATTAACCGGGCGTGTTGGCGCATGCCTGTAATCCTAGCCACTCCAGAGGCTGAGGCAGGAGAATTTCTTGAACCCGGGAGGCAGAGGCTGCAGTGAGCCGAGATCAGCCTGGGCAACAAGAGCAAACCTCCGTCTCAAAAAAAAAATAATTATATATATATATATATATATATATATATATATATATATATATTTACTATAGTCACCCTGTTATGCTCACATATACTAGGTATTATTCATTCTTCCTATTTTTCGTACCCATGAACCATCCCCACTCTCCTATCAACCCCCTCATTACCCTTCCCAGCCTCTAATAACCATCCTTCTATTTTCTATCTCCATGAGTTCAATTATTTTAAATTTTAGCTCCCACAAATAAGTGAGAATGTGAAGTTTGTCTTTCTGTGCCTGGCTTATTTCACTTAACATAATGTCCTCCAGTTCCATTCATGTTGTTGGAAATGACGGGATCTCATTCTTTTTCATGGCTGAATAGTATTCGGTTGCATATATGTCCCATATTTTGTTTATCCATTTAGCCATGATGGACTCTTAGGTTGCCTCCAAAGCTTGGCTATTGTAACTAGTGCTGCAGTAAACATGGGTGTGCAGATGTCTCTTTGATAGACTCATTTCCTTTCTTTTGGGTATATACCTAAGAGTGAGATTGCTGAATCATATAATAGCTCTATTTTTAGCTCTTTGAGGAACCTCCAAACTGTTCTCCATAGTGGTTGTACGAATTTACATTCCTACAAACAGTGTACGAAGGTTCCCTGTTCTCCACATCCTCTCCAACATTTGTTATTGCCTGACTTTTGGATAAAAGCCAATTTAACTGGGGTGAGATGATATCTCATTGCAGTCTTGATTTGCTCCTTTGCTGTGCAGAAGCTTTTTAACTTGATGTGATTCCATTTGTCCAGTTTTGCTATGGTTGCCTTGCTTGTGAGGTATTAACTCAAGAAATCTTTGCCCAGTCCAGTGTCCTGGAGAGCTTCCCCAATGTTTCCTTTTGGTAGTTTCACAGTTCGAGGCCTTAGATTTAAGTCTTTATTCCATTTTGATTTGATATTTGTATGTGGTAAGAGACAAGGATCTAGTTTAATTCTTTTGCATATGGATATCCAGTTTTCCCAGCACCATTTATTGAAGAGAATGTCCTTTCCCTAATGTATGTTCTTAGCACCTTTGTCAAAAATGAGTTCACTGTGTATGTATGGATTTGTTTCTGGGTTCTCTGTTCTGTTCCACTGGTCTATGTGTGTCTGTTTTTAGGCCAGTACCATGCTGTTTTGGTTAATATAGCTCTGTAGTATAATTTAAAGTCAGGTAATGTTACTCCTCCAATTTAGTTCTTTTTGCTTAGGATAGCTTTGGCTATTCTGGGTCTTTTGTGGTTCCATATAAATTTTAGAATTGTTCTTTCTATTTCTGTGAAGAATGTCATTGGTATGCTGATAGGGATTGACTTAAATCTGTAGATTGCTTTGGATAGTATGGACATTTTAACAATATGGATTCTTCCCATCAGTGAACACAGAATATCTTTCCATTTTTTGTGTGTCTTCTTCAATTTCTTGCATCAATGTTTTATGGTTTTCATTATAGAGATCTTTAACTACTTTAGTTAATTCTTAGGTATTTTATTTTATTTGTAGCTATTGTAAATGGAATTAGTTTCTTGATTTTTTTTCAGATTATTCCCTGTTGGCATATAGAAATGTTACTGATTTTTGTATGTTGATTTTGTATCCTGCAACTTTACTGAATTTGTTGATCAGTTCTAAAAGTTTGTTGATGGAGTCTTCAGTTTTTCCAAATATAAGATCATATCATCTGCAAACAAGGATGGTTTGACACCATCCCTTCCAATTTGGAAACTCTATATCTCTTCCTCCTGTCTGATTGATCTAGCTAACACTTCCAGGACTATGTTGAATAACAGTAGTGAAAGTGGGCATCCTTGTCATGTTCCCAATCTTAGAGGGAAGGGTCTCAGTTTCTCCCCATTCAGTGTGACACTAGCTATGGGTCTGTTGTGTAGCGTTTTTATTATATTGAAGTATGTTCCTTCTACACCCAGTTTTTTTTTGAGGGTTTTTATCATGAAGAGATGATGAATTTTATCAAATGATTTTTCAGCACCAATTGAAATGATTGTATGGGTTTTGTCCTTCATTCTGGTGATACATGATGTATCACATTAATGGATTTGTGTATGTTGAACCATCCTTGCATCCCAGGGATAAATCCCACTTGGTCATCATGAATGATATTTTTAATTTGTTGTTGAATTTGCTTTTCTAGTATTTTGTTAAGGATTTTTATACCATTATTCATCAGAAATATTGGTCTGCAGTTTTCTTTTTTCAATGTGTTTTTGTCTGGCTTTTGGTATCAGGGTTGTACTGGCCTCATAGACTGAGTCTGGAAGTATTCCCCCTCCTCTATTTTTTGGAATAGTTGGAGCAGGAATGATATTAGTTCTTCTTTAAATGTTTGGTAGAATTCAGCTGTGAATCCATCAGATCCTGGGCTTTTCTTTTCTGGGAGACTTTTTATACAGCTTTGATCTCATTGTTTATTGTTGGTCTGTTCAGGTTTTGGATTTCTTCATGGTTCAGTCTTGGTGGGTTGTATGTGTCTAGGAATTTACCCATTTCTTCTAGATTTTCCAATTTATTGGCATATAGTTGCTCATAGTAGCCACTAATGATCATTTCAATTTCTGAGGTATCAGTTGTAAGTAAATCCTTTACAATGACATAGTAATAGTAAGGCTTTGAAAATGCTTCTCATGGGTGCAAGATATAGGAAATTCAACTCTAGTTTTCAGATGAGGGTACTGAGGTTGGGAAAATCAAGTGACCAGCCCTAAGTCACACAGCAGGTTAGTGGGGACCAGGATCAGATAGAGCAATTTCTGTCTCCACAGTGGACCCCCCAACCCCACCTTCTATTGCCCACCTTGGCCCTTGAGTACTAGGTGGGGAAAGGCGCTCAAGGAAGGTCCACTTGTTGGAGCTGTGGCCAGTGGATTGCAGGGCATGAGAACAGAAGCAAAAGCCACCTGGAGCCTACAGCAACATCCAGATGAGAACCCTGACCCCGCTGGGACAGGATCAGTCCACATGAAACTGTTAGGGAACAGTGGGTAGTGGATATGAATGGAGTCCTGAGGAATGGGGGATTTAGAATAAATGGGCAGGAAGAAATAAGAATGTTTTATATCTGTTCGGGTATTTTGGTTCCATTATCATGGCTGTTTAAGATGCTCCCTGAACCATACATTTATGTTAATGTTTTAAATAGTAATGCATCAAATGTGACCAAAATCTGAAGTACTAAAACAATATGACAGCACAGACAGAATGGCTGGAAGGTATTAAGTGTCTAGGAGCACTGGTTTTGCTGATAAGGCAAACTCTATGGGGCTGACTTATTGGTTAACTAGTCATTGTCTAGATGAAGAAACTGAGGCTTGGAAAGAATAAAAACTGCCTGAAGCCACACAGATGGTAAGTGGCAGAGCTGGTTGACTGCAGCTCCATCTGGCTTCAATATCTGTACACTTCCCACCCCTGACGCTGACACTGGGCCTGTGTGACACTTGGATATCGGGTATCCATGTGGTAACTATATTTTCCAAGCCCCAAATAGGGACACATGGTCTGACAAGTGTGAAGGTACTTATGGGGCAAGAGACTAGAAGGTTTTAAATTAGGCCTGTCCCAGCAAATCCAGGACATCTGGTCATCATAGATATCTAGGGGCTGCCCACACCCCTGGCACGAGGCAGGCTTTTGCCTTTTAATACTCTTTCCCATCTTGAATGCCCAAGGTCTATTTTTTGGTTTAAGCACATGCCACAGACAAGTGAGGGACATTTAAAAAGATCAAACAGCTGGAGAGAGATTGCAAGGGACATTCTTTTTAGGGAAGCCACAGCAGGGGAGAGGGCAGGAGAGGGCAAGGAAGTGGCAGAGGGTCAGAAGAGTAACTCACGGGTTCTAAATCCCAGGAGGTGTAGGGCATTGTGAGCTGAGGTCAGGTTAAGGCTGGGGACTTTTCCTCAGTATCAGGCCCATAGCTACCCACTTCTCCTCTCCCTTCCTCTTTCTCCATCTCTTCTCCTTGTTCTTTTCTCATTGTGAACTCTCACTACTCCCTCCTGACTCCGGCTTAGAGCAGAAGGAGCTGCAGCTGGCCTGAGGCACCTCAAGGAGGGGCGGCTGGTTTCTGTGCAGTGAAGACAACTTCCTGAAGAGCTATGTGACTGTGCTGAACCCGCTTCTGTAAAATGGGTTCACCAATAACAGGTTACTGTAGAATTATAGAGGATAGGGTGTAAAACTGTCCTATAAACGGTGAAGAATTGGACACATGTGGTGCTCAGTTTTGTATTCAGTGGGAGTTGGGGTCAATGTTATGTTGATATTGTTAGAATAACTGCCAGTCTTAGGAGCATTTATCAGTAGAGGCCTAACAGCAATAATGTGAGGTTGTGTGTTTGCTTCATTTGAAATGGTACAGTTGCCTGCTACTTCACAAATACAGGGAGAAGAAAGGAGAAGTGAGGTACAAGGCGGGTACGTGTGCATGTTTCAGTGTGTGTGTGTTTGTGTGTGTGTAGAGAGAGAGAGAGAAATGGAGGTACAATCTGGCATTTGTTAGAAATCGCACAATCATAGAACACTAGGGATGGGCCTTAAAGAATCTATCCTCTTCACTCTATGGACAGGGACACTAAAGCTCAGACAGAAAAAAGCTAATTTTCCAAGGTCAATCACTAGTCAGTTGGGGGCCACACGGGGCATGGTCTCCAGGTCTTCTGGTCCAAGTCCAAGGCTTCCATTGTCAGCCCATGCTCAGCCCTATTGTACAAACCACGATGTGCAAGGAGCAGTGGGGAGTCAGAGGGACAGATGTGACCTTTCGTGTCAGGGTGTCCCAGATTATTTGGGAAGGCCACACCTACAACCGTGACCCAGTCAAAGACGAGCCTGAAACAGTACTGACTGGGATGTAAGATCCAGGGATACACCTCAGGGACCTGTAAGAATGTAGGTGCAGGAGCAGCCATCCAGGCCTGGGTGGTAGGGGAAGACTTGAGGAAATAGCTGAAGGAGTGGACGTGGACAGTTAGAATAATAAAAAACAAGCAATTAAGTAACATTTCCTTCAAGTGATGCTTTTTGCTCCAATTCTTGCCTAGAGGTGGTGGTTTGGGATTTTACCAGCATCTCTCTTTGGAATTCAAATGTACCACCAGTACTTCGCTTTTCCTGAAAAGCCTAAGTTACAAATTGATAGCTTCTAAAACCTCTCTGCAAAGGGTTAAATGTCTGTGTTGGAAAAGAGAAACTCATCAGTTAATATCTACTTCTTAATCAGCCCAAGGTGCTGAAAAAAAGGCCATTCACCAAGTGGTTAGCAAAGCTAATTTGTCATTCTGGCATTTTGACCTACTGTGCTTTTAAGGCATTATTCTTCCACACATTTCAAAACCGTTATTCTTCCACACTGTAGTTTCTGTTGGAGAGAACCAATTACATCTTTCCCTACCATACACAATGGGATGTCCTTGACATTACTTACGGGGTTTTCCTTCTTATCTGGAAACTTGGTTGGAAACCTCTAGAGGAGCAGGGGACCCTCATTTATTCATCTCTACCCGCTCCATAGCACCTCCCATGAATCCTTGCCCAGGGCTGGCTCTGAGGAATCTTTTGTTGGATTTGAAATGATGATCATATCGGGTTAATTTCCAGCATTAACCATAAAAATTGGCTAGAGTTCAAAGCTGGTGGCATGCTCAAGTTACTGCCAAACCTCCTGCTCATTCCCTCCCACCCCCCCAGCCTCAAGTTGTGAGCAACTGAATTTATCAGCTGTGAAACTGGTTGCACTAATACCTCAGATGAATCTTCAATATAAGCTGTATCCCCTGCTGGGGCTTCTTGAGGAAGGTGACTGGATCTCACTCATCTTGGAACCTTTATGCTTAGCCCAGTGACTGCCTGGTACATAGAAAGTGCTCAATAAATGTTTATTGCATTAGACAGTAATTTTCGGCCGGGCGCGGTGGCTCACGCCTGTAATCCCAGCACTTTGGGAGGCCGAGGCGGACGGATCACGAGGTCAGGAGATCGAGACCATCCTGGCTAACATGGTGAAACCCCGTCTCTACTAAAAATCCAAAAAAATTAGCTGGGCGTGGTGGCAGGCGCCTGTAGTCCCAGCTACTCGGGAGGCTGAGGCAGGAGAATGGTGTGAACCCGGGAGGCAGAGCTTGCAGTGAGCCGAGGTAGCGCCACTGCACTCTAGCCTGGGCAACAAAACAAGACTCCGTCTCAAAAAAAAAAAAAAAGACAGTAATTTTCTAATTTCTTAGAAATTAGAAAAAACATTTTCATTAGGTTACCTCTCCCCTCAAACTCAGAGTACATATCATTACAGAAAAGAGAAAGGCCGGGGGTGTAGGGACAGAAAACACTTCCTGCTCTGGAAACTATACCATTAGCTCCTTTGTTCAAGTCGGCATTTCTGATCTGATACCTGTATTTCACACAAGAAATGACAACTTCCCTGATACTTCAAAGTCCTTTCTCATATCTAGGATGATTTTTTTAAATTTAATTTTTTAAAGCACAGACCCATCTTTGATCTATGCAGGGCAATGTATTTGGGTTGACAAGATGGTTTCCCTGTTTCTTCCTTTAGGCACACTTTCATCAGTATGTTCCTGCCTTGGTTTAGTCCTTAGATGATTTTTTTTTTTTTGGCCCAGAGTTTATCATGGACATTTACATTAGCAAGTATTTCTGCATCTTTTTGTGATTTTCATCTTTAGTTTATTAGAATAAGTCTCCCCACCTTCTTTGGATTTAATTTTATTTAAGAACATGATCTGGGGCTGCATATTCATTCATGTGAATATTAACTAATCCAGATGAACTTTACTGGAATGTAAATACTGTGGCTGGAAGGCAAGATCAAAACCATTCCCCAAACAGAAATGTTAATCTTTCTATGGCCAAGGGGAAACACAGCAGTTTAACATGCAAGCAATTTCATGCATTTTTACATTAAGTCATTAAGTAAAATCTTTTGTCTGTTTTGTATGGTTGAGATTATTTATAAGTAACAGGTAAAGGCCAAAGGTCCCCAGCATTGCTTGACCTGTTTGAATATCAGTCCATACCAAAGATGTTTGGAGAAATCACTGTTCCGACCACAGTGTCAACTAACACCAAAGGTAGTGTTTCATTCACCTTAAACATGTCACCAGAGGCTGAGTGAAACTACATGCTTGCTTCCATTTATATACATGGTCATTCGCCACTTAAGGATGGGGATACGTTCTGGGAAATGCATTGTTAGGTGATTTCATCATTGTGTGAACACACCATAGAGGGCACTTACACACACCTGGATGGTATGGCCTACTACACACCTAGGCTATATTGTACAGCCTATTGCTCCCAGGCCACAAACTTGTACAGCATGTCATCCACTGAATGCTGTGGACACTTATAACTCAATGGTAAGTATTTGTGTATCTTAACATATGTAAACATAGAAAAGGTACACTAAAAATATGGTGTTATAATCTTATGGGACTGCCTTCATATATGAAGTTCATCGTTGACTGAAACGTTGTTATGCACCACATGACACTGTGTGTGTGTGTGGGGGGGGTGTGTATGAGTACCTGTATATGCATATGTAAAACCCAAAACTTCAGTGAAGTGTGTATGTGAGGTTTGTGTGTGTGCATGATGTGGCAGTGGGGAGATGGGTCCCTTAGGGTCATGCAAACCAGCAAAGCAGAAGCTTACGTTTAATGAACATTTAAAATATTATAGACATTTACTTACAAAACAAACGCTAGATTTCTTCTGTATATCAAGAAATCAGTAGATCCTTCTATATAGGAAAACTAAATCTTTTTTGATTGATAAGAGTGTTTGGGCTTTCCCTGGGCACTTATGTCATTGGATCACATTTAGATGGAGTGCCTTGGAAAGTTTGACATCTCTCATAGATGCCAACATGAGAGACTAATCGTACATAAAATAGCCTAGAGCCACTGGGGATTCAAATGGCTCCGGCCTGACCTCTTATCCTGACTTTCATACTTCTACCACCTCCAGCTCAGACCAGTCTCTTAGGCTGGGTCTAACACAAGCCAGTTCCAAAGAATGGGCATTATCCCTGGGTTAAATAAATATTTTATGTGATTTATTTCACTTGGCCAATCAATTATTGGATCAGATTGACCTAGAACCTTCTGGTTCTTATAGTACTATTCTGTCTCTGTCCCTTAGGAAAGGATCAGCAACAACACACACGCACACACACACAAACACACACACACACACACACAAACACACATACACTTAACAGCATTTTGAAGCTTTGGTGAGACACCTTAACTTATTTAAGCAAAATACACAATTAAATAGAGTGAAAGCTCACATCTGTTTTGAGATTGACTCTGGTAGCGCTAGTCTTATTGGATTTTATAAAAAGTAATTCCAGTTATGGTAACTACATTTATAAAAGCACAGCTGGGGTGGATGAAACTGGAGTCGTTCACTAGGTTAGATCAATATTCAACCCTGGCTACACATTCACCTGGGGAGCTTTTGAAAAATGCTGAGGCCTGGGCCATACTTCAAGCCAATGAAAGCAGAATCTCTGGCTGCGAGGCCTAAGCATCTGTATTTTTAAAAGCTCCTCCAGGAGATTTTAACGTTGAGAACCACAGAGTTAGATGAATAGAAGCAGGGAGTCAGGAAAGGGGTGATTAATACTATGCCATGCCAGTGATGGACCAAAGAGCTTAAGCTTTTTTTTTTTTTCTTAGATGGAGGTTCGTTCTTGTCACCCAGGCTGTAGTGCAGTGGTGCGATCTTGGCTCACTGCAATCCCTGCCTCCCTGGTTCAAGTGATTCTCCCATGTCAGCCTCCCGAGTAGCTGGGATTACAGGCACCCACCACCATGCCCAGCTAATTTTTGTATTTTTAGTAGAAACGGGGTTTCACCATGTTGGCCAGGCTAGTCTCAAACTCCTGCCCTCAGGTGATCCACCCGCCTTGGCTTCCCAAAGCGCTGGGATTACAGGCGTGAGCCACCACACCCGGCCTGAGCCTAAGCTTTTCATTTCGAATAAGTCTCTGGATGTCAGAGCTGGATATATACCTTAAATATATGTCTCATTTTGGAGAAGGGAAACTGAGGCTCAGAGGCTTAGTAATGCTATATAGTATTATCCTGGCCAGAAACTTGTCTTCCACTGTATGCCTGTCACCTAAAGAGCAAGCTTGGGAATTAAAAGAACAAACTCCTGTCCATGAATCTAACCGTCTATTTATTTAGTAATATTTAAACACTGGAAATGGTTTCTGGTGGTGGAATCAGCACAGCTTTGTAGCTCTCAGATGTAAAGGCTGTGTCCCTTATTAGCTACTGCTTATTTTTTCTGAGCCTGTCTTCTCATCTGGCAAATAAGAATTAAGAATAACTACTCTCCAAGTGTTATCACAAATGAGATGACAGCAGGTAAAACATGTAGTATGTGCTCAGAAAACTAAATGGAATTATAATTATTAACTGCGTTAAAAAAATCTGGGGATTTATGTAGAAATAGCTGCAGAGGGGATAAAAAGAGCTTCTTGGAGCTTCTTTGCATGAAATATCATAACCCTGCAAAGGTTGTTTTTGGTTTCTATTGATTGAAAACACAAATAAACCCCAACTGAAGCACTCTTATGAAGGAATGAATGGATTTCCAATCTGTGTTTTCTTGTTTACTGTGGAAAATATGCGATCCAAGGAAAACACAGGTGGTTAAACTGCTCAGTGCCTCTATTTTTATCATAAGCAGAGGGCTCTAAGCATTCAAACCCAAATATTTTACTTAATAGAAAATGAAGACTTAACTTCTCAAGGTTAACTGGATCCAGGTTTCCTGTGGCCAAATTTAGATTTTCAGCCATCAGTTGAAATTCCAAAACAATAATAAAAAGCTCACAATTAGCATTTTTAAAGAAGCATTTTCTTTTCATTTAGGAACTTTTGCTTTTTTGGCATCCCTTTTGTTTTGCAAAAATAAAATCTTAGTAGGGAGAGGAAAGCCACCTCCCCGGGTTGGATGCTTGCGAGATGAAGATGGGAGCCCACCCCGCAGGGCCCTGGAGAAGGTGGCGCCCCTCCCCCCTGCCCCCGTCCCCCTCCCCACTCCCCTCTTCTCTCCCCGCTGCCCGCCCCGCCACCCGGGCTTGTGCGGACGTGTCTCGGGCGTGACCTTTGAGCAGCTGCGCCACCGGCTCAGCCTCGCGGCGGGGGAAACCCGAGCTCCCAACAAAACGGTTCCATCTTTGGCTAGGCCTTTGGTATTTCAAGGCGCTGCCGGTGGGGAGAGATGCCGCGTGCCTGAGAGGCTCTGGGAGGTCGCCGCAGCTTTCGCTTCCCGGGTTTTACATTTCCGAAGGGGCTGAACGTCTGCAGAGGAACCGGAGCTGATGCTGGGGCTGGGGCTGGGGCCGGGGCGGGAACCTAACGAATGCACCTCTGGGGAGGCTAGAGGGAGCGCGGCTCAGCCTCCTCCCTGGGTGGGTCCTTCAGCGCTCTTTCCTTCTTTTTTTCTTTTCTGCAGATGTTATGTGGTCAACAGGGACTGAGGCTCTTTAAGCCCTTAAATCTCTAAGGGCTAAATCTCCTTCCTGATATTCGCCCCCAAACCGGTAACGGTTTTCACATGATTCAGATACCTCTCTACCTGCCTGAAGGACTGGAGTGCAAAGTTGAACTTGACTCAGATAAATGCATTGATCCTTCCCTGGGGAAAAAAGTTTAGACATCACTAATAGTAGTTAACTTTTGAGTGCTTCCTCTGTGCTAAGCACGGTTCTAATCACTTAAATGTAATAACTCATTTAATCATCACAACAATTCTATGACATAGGAATTCTTATTTCTGCCTAACAGGCACCAAAGAAGGCCCAGAGAGGTTTAACAACTTCCTCAGAATCACACAGCTTCCAAATGGTTGGGTTGGGTTTACATTTAGGCGGTCTTGCTCCAGAGCCAGTGCTCCTAACCTTTGCAAGCCACGAACCTCAAGAAAGTGGAGAAGGAAACGCTGGGAAATCTGGAAGTCAGACATGGCAAGTGAGGACTTTCTTTTTTCTTTTCTTTTCTTTTTTTCTTTTTTTAGAAGGAGTTTTGCTTTAATTGCCGAGGCTGGAGTCGGCTCACTGCAACCTCCGCCTCCCAGGTTCAAGCGACTCTCCTGCCTCAGCCTCCCAAGTAGCTGGGACTATGGGATTACAGGCATGCACCACCACGCCCGGCTAATTTTGTGTGTGTTTTTAGTAGATACGCGGTTTCTCCATGTTGGTCAGGCTGGTCTCGAACTCGCGACCTCAGGTGATCCGCCCACCTCGGCCTCCCAAAGTGCTAGGATACAGGCGTGAGCCATCACACCTGGCCAGGACCTTCTTAAATGCTCTGTTTTGGTCAGAAAGTGCTGGGACCCCGGGGTGGCACACCCAGCACTCACCAGGAACTAAGTACTTGCTGTCCGTTTTGGACACGTGCTGGCAGCTTGTTGACTCTCATGCCGCCATTCTCAAGAGGGGCTCCCTGGCAACCTCATCTATTGCCTGTTGGAAAGGGACAGGGCAGGCAGGGACAGGAGAGGCCGATGGCAGGCAGTTGGCTCCCAGGGTCGGTCTGAAGAGAGAGGAGAGAGGTGTGAGAAAGAGAGGGACCCACGGCATGAGGGTTGAGGCAGGGGCCAGGTCTTGCCTTGGATGCCCCAGGAAGTATGCCAGGCACTTGGGGGAACTCCTGCCCTGAAACAGTGAAGTCTGCATCCAGCAGGCCAGTTTGTTGATGAACAGGTTTGGCTAGACTGTCGAGGAGTCAGAATTTGTCCCTGTCTAGTTTGTTTCTTTGTATGGAGGTGTGGGCACAGAACGAGTCCTTAGAGGATGCTTCTGGGGAGAGAGCAGTGAAGACCAAAGTTCTAGGATGGTTTGAGAGCTCCCTTCTCTGGCACGTGGAAAAGCAAGATGTGTGCCCTCCCCCAAACACGCGCCACACCAGCTTCGCTTCCCACTGGTCTGAACGTCTCTCTTGGCTAATTCTTCCTCTTGGATTCCATTACCTTTGTGCTAACAGCTCCTACAGCGCCATTTTATATCAGCAAAAAGTACCCAGCACAGTTGCCTGAGTCAGGCAGGAAGAGCTTTGTGCCCCTCCCGCCGCCCACTCAGTACCCACCCACACAGCACACAGCAGGGGTACTGAAAGTGCATCTAGGCCGGGCGCGGTGGCTTACGCCTGTAATCCCAGCACTTTGGGAGGCTGAGGTGGGTGGATCACGAGGTCAAGAGATCGAGACCATCCTGGCCAACATGGTGAAACCCCATCTGTACTAAAAATACAAAAATTAGCCGGGCGTGGTGGCACATGCCTGTAGTCCCAGCTACTTGGGAGGCTGAGGCAGGAGAATCACTTGAACCCGAAAGGCAGAGGTTGCGGTGAGCTGAGATTGTGCCACTGCACTCCAACCTGGCGACAGAGTGAGACTCCGTCTCAAAAGCAAACAAACAAACAAAAAACAAAGTGCACCCACAGGGTGTCCTGGGGGTACCCATGCATCATCCTGACTGTCTGAGTATCCCCAGGCCAACCTTAAGAGTACAATATTCCTTCAGGTGGGTAAACTGGTATGGTGAGACCCTTTGTGGGTTCCTGTATGGCTCTGCCACTTACTTGCTATGTGACCTTGGGCAGGTTACTTAACTTTTCTGTGCTTCAGTCTTGTCATCAGCACAATGGTGATAATACTAACACCTACTTCAGAAGGTGTTGTAAGAACTTAAAGTGTTAGTAAGTCTAAAATGCCTGGCCCATGGCAAGTGCTCAATAAATATTAGTTTCTGCTTTTACTATTGTCACAACTATTATTAGTTTGGTGCAAAAGTAATCATGGTTTTTGCCATTGAAAGTAATGCCAAAACGCGATTACTTTTGTACTAACCTAATATTATTATGCAGCTCTAAGCAAGTAACTTTCCCTCTCTGAATCTCATTGTCCTCATGATGAGTGTAAGAGTGTCTGTTTCATAGGACTGTTGTGAGAATTAAACAGTGTTAATTACTATTGTAAAGTTTGCAATAAATAACCATTATTTATGTGTTGCTTTAGCCTAGTTTATCTCCCGGGAGCTGACTTCATTTCTAAACGTATAGGGGTTTCTTAGAGGAGCTTCAGAATACTAATCATCGCTAGTGAGGGCACTTGGACACTTTGCTTCACCTCAGCCAGCACCTCTTTTCCCAGCTGTAAAATGGTATGATAATAAGCACCCCTAGGAATCTCAAGGATGTTACGAGGGAAAAATATGCAATAATATACAAAGCACTTTGAGCTTCTCTGAAGACAGACGCATATAAATGGAAGGTGGTATTATAAGGTGGGGTAATCACTGGTTACCTCCCCCCCTTTTTTATTTAATTAGGAGAAAACCAGTAATTAGGAAGCATGGCCTTGTTAAAGCTGTGGCCTGGGAAATAGTTCTCTTGGCACCTAATCAGAACTGTGACATGGCGCAAATTTTTGCAAAATGTGGGCAGCAGGGGACCTTCCCCAAGGCTCAGACTGTGAGAAATTTGCGTCTAGGGGCCAGATCCTGAGGTGGCTGAGCTGGCTGGGGAGGCTTCTAAGGAGATCTTCACTCAGGTCTGCAAGGGGGCTCTGCCCTGCCTCAGTAGCCCTCATCTCTGGGGGCCCCAAAGTCATTCTCATCTGCAGGTTAGAGCTTGCTGCAGGCCCAGAACCAAGCTTGTCCACCACGTGGCCTTCTTGGACCCACTGGGGCAACTTCAGGGTTCTGAAAAGCACCTCAGATCTAGTCTGGTCTCTGATTCAGTAGCAGAGACAAAGAAATCCCCTGCCTGTTCCCCTTAAAATGGGCCATTGTGGAGTAGGTGCTGGGG
This sequence comes from Homo sapiens, assembly GCF_000001405.40. Classification (NCBI taxonomy): domain Eukaryota; kingdom Metazoa; phylum Chordata; class Mammalia; order Primates; family Hominidae; genus Homo; species Homo sapiens. The sequence goes on along the minus strand of NC_000003.12, from coordinate 194,054,794 downwards.
CCCTAGCTTGCTCCCCACTGTGCCTTTGTTAGAGCATTAGCCTCCAGCGGAACCCACTGTCTCTCTCCTTGCGAGTCCCAGTTTGCCCATTCTCCCGGATCCTGCTTAAAGGCCGCCTCTGCCAGGAGGCCTTCCCAGGTCTTCCCAGTTACCATCACTCTCTTCCTCCTCTAGACTCTGTGTTTGGTACAGTGTGGTTTTTGTGTTTGTCCTGTCTTCTCTCACATTTGACTCTGAGCCACTGGAAGAAAGGGAAGGAAAGTAAGAGAAATGAAGTATTCCCATTCCCAGGCACCTGGCCAGTTGTTGCAGACAGAATGACCAGCACTGTTGTATTGATTCCCCCTCAATACGTTGAAAAAGCAAACGGGAGGCATCTGGAAAATCTTGAGATAAGCAGCTTCATTTTCAATGATGAGTCTTTTAAAATACACAGAAATGGTATAACAATCATGTATCCACCACTTAGACTACCAATGGTTACTTTTGTCATATTCACTTTAAATGTCTTTTTATTATGTATTTAAAAGAAGTGAAACTTGTAGATACAGCTAGGGCTCCCCGTGTCCACTCACTGAAGTCCCTTCCCTTTTGTCATATTCACTTTAAATGTCTTTTTATTATGTATTTAAAAGAAGTGAAACTTGTAGATATAGCTAGGGCTCCCCGTGTCCACTCACTGAAGTCCCTTCCCTCTCCCTTCTAGGGTCCACCACTTTCCTTGTCATCTGGTAAAGGACCCTGCATCCATGGATGGACAGAGGGGATTGCTAAAGTGCTGAATCGCGTGTGAAATTCTACGTGTGCCTCTTTCTCACACATGCCACATCCATTGCAGAGATGCTCTTGACTCAACCTTCCAGCAGTCTCCACTGCAACCACTCTGGCCAAGGCCACCATTTTCTTTTCTTTTCTTTTTCTCTCTCGCCATGGTTGGAGTGCAGTGGTGCGATCTAGGCTCACTGCAACCTCTGTCTCCAGGGTTGAAGCGATTCTTCTGCCTCAGCCTCCCGAGTAGCTGAGATTACAGGCACGCACCACCATGCCCAGCTAATTTTTGTATTTCTTAGTAGAGATGGGGTTTCACCATGTTGGCCATGCTGGTCTTGAACTCCTGACCTGGTGATCCACACGCCTCGGCCTCCCAAAGTGCTGGGATTACAGGTGTGAGCCACTGCGCCCGGCCCAGGCTACCATTTTTTGACATTTAAATCTTTTGCTCCCCGTAGCAGCCTCAGACAGACATTCTAAAGTCTTAGATCATATTGCCCCTTTGCTCAAAGTCCACTCATGGCTTTAGATTTAACTCAGTAAAATTCCTATGTGATATGTGTCTCCCGACTTCTGCCCCTGTGACCTCATCTCTCACTGAGGCAGCCTTCCTCCCACTTCCCGAGGTCCAGCCATGCTGCTCTTTTTGCTTGTCCTCATTCACGCTGGGCATGACCTCAGGCTGTTCATGCTCTTGTTGCTGTGCTCTTTCCCCAGATAACCACATGGCAAAACCGCTTATATTCTTTGGTTCTTTGCTCACATTCACTTCTCAATGAAGACTCCCTGACACATCCTGTTTAAAAATGTGACATCATTCCCACCTATCTCTCTCTTATCCTGCTCTAATTTTCCTTTTTCCATAGCACTCTTTACCAGGACAGGGTCTCACTCTGTTGCCCAGCCTGGAGTACAGTGGAGTGATCATGGCTCACTGAGGTCTCAACCTCCTGGTCTCAAGTGATCCTCCTACCTCAGCCTCCTGGGTAGCTGGGACTATAGGCACATTCTACCATGCCTGGCTAATTCTTCGTTTTTTTTTTTCTTTGTAGAGATGGGGTTTTGCCATGTTGTCCAGGCTGGTCTCGAACTCCTGGGCTCAAGTGATCTGCCCGCCTTAGCCTCCCAAAGTGCTGGGATTACAGGTGTGCACCACCTTGACTGGCCCATAGTACTTGTTTTCTAGCAAATTATATATTTTACGTATTTATTACATTCAATTTTTATTGCTTGTTTTTCTGTGTTACAATATAAGCTACATGAGAGCAGGAAATTCTGTCTATTTGTCCACTGATGTTTCTGAGTCCCTGCAATAGTGCCTGGCACATAGGTGCTCCATAAGTATTTGCTGAATGATTAAATAAATAAATGGATGAATGCATATGAGCATTTCTCACTGGAGAGGGTCCAGAACTTTCATTAGATTTTCCAAGGTGTCTGTGACACAAAAAAGGGTAGGAACCATTGACATAGTAACCCATCAAAAAGTTTGCTGGAAATTCTTTGCTTGCCAGGAAGTCTGCCTAATGAAGCAGGAGATCCTGAGGGATTTTTCTCCTTTTTTGATTTGTGTCTCTCCAGAGAGCTAATGCTGGCAGCTGTTGGGATGTCCTCTTCCAGGAATGGTGATGAGTTTCCCTGGATCCAGCCCTGGCTTGGCTGAGGTAGGGAACCAGGGAGGCATTGATGGAGGCCATGGGCAGGAGCCCTGGCAGTGGGCCTGTTCCAGAGAAGCTGTAATTTTCCTTGCTCCTTTTGTGGAGTCTGTCTGGGAGCAGAGGCTGAATGTGGCCACAGCCTCCTGAGCTTCCTTGAGGAGCTAGGCAAGATGCCGAGACCAACAGGACCTGCTTCTTGCCTTACAGGCTCCAAGTGTAGGCAAAGAGTAAGATCAGGACTTCTTGTAGGAGCCCTAGCCTGGGTGACCAGACAGTGGCCTGTGATGCAAAGAAAGATAATAGTCAAGTGGAGGGAGCTTGGAAACAAAAAGATACCAAAGGCCATCTGGAGGGGATAGTGGGAGTGAATTGGAGGTGAGTCAGCCAGCTCACAGGGCAGTTAAAAAGACAAGTGGGTAATTGTGGGTGCAGTCGGCAGGTCATACACAGAAAATGAGGAACAAGTGGTTAATTGGGCCCACAAGCCCAGGATCCCGCCTATAATTAGCAAATTGCAGGGCTTTGATATTTGCTTTGGTAACAACTTGTGTAGTAAATTGCAGGGAGGAAAACTGTACCCCCAGCCTGGGAGGTGACTCTGTGTCACCATTCTCTTACAAACACTTGTAGGCAGCACACACATGAATATACTCCCAGCATTGGGGGTGGGACTTGTACCTTTCTGCAGGCTGACAGCCTCCTGTGATGCTTTCTGTTTCCATTTACCCCTTGCTTAAGTTTTTGCCAATCAGGGCTGAAGCTGAGGGCTGGTTTCCTGGTGCATGCTGCCATTGTTCACACACTGATTTTCATGTTCCCTTAAGCTGTAGCCCTTGGGGAGGAGAGACCTTCTGGCCAGAGATGTGACCAGGAGTGGCCATGTGGGAATGGCCATGGGTAATTCCCATGCAAGTTCTATAGGAGGGGGAAGAGACACAAGTGAGTTCTGTTTCAGCATTGTTGAAATTTTGTCTATGAAGATGGTCAGTGCTTGTTCCTGATCAGAGACTGGCCTTTGTAGGTTTCATATCTGTGGCTACCTCTGCAGGCTTCTCAGCTATTGTGACCAAAGTGCAGACCAGAAGCATAGGAAAATGGCACTGGGATTGTCATGGTAAAACCCTATAAATGTCCACACATGCAGAGAGACTGGTGAGCACAGGCAATGAAAAGAGCACTAAATGAGTGTCAGGAGACCTGGGTTTGAATTTGCACTCCCTACTGATGGGTCTTGTCAAGTCACTTAAATACTTGTACATCATCTCTGTCATTTATAGGTCTGTTTCTATTGACTGATTTTTCTCTTGATTATGGGTCACCATTTTTCTGCGTCTTTATATGTCTAGTAATTTTTTATTAGATGGCAGACATTGTAATATTCTATCATTAAGTATTTGGACTTTGTTGTCTTCTTTTTTTAAAGAAAAATCTTGGTTTTGGCTTTGTTTGGGCTTTATTTTGGCAGACAGTTAAGTTACACATGGATCAGTTTGACATCTTTGAATCCTGGCTTTACACTTTGCTATGGAGAGTCTGGAGTAACCTTCACTCCAGGAATAATTCAGCCATTTTCCTCAAGTGTGATTTCTCTGGGTTCTTCACTGAATGTCCCAAGGGATCACCAAGGACTCTCCACGTTGGCTGGTTGATGCACAATTACGGCCTTACCTTTTGAGAGCTTTGGATTGTTCAGCTTCAACTCTCCTGTCGTTTCTCTTCCCTGGTCATGTAGAGTTTTACTTTATACACATATAGTTGAATACTCAGCAAAGACTCAGGAAAATATCTCAGCAGACTTATGGTGTTATTTTTCTGTGTATCTCCCTCCTTTCAAAAATTGTGATCCTCACCTCCTAGCTGCCTCAGGTCCACAGACTGATCTCTGTCTCCTCAACCTAGTGAAGCTACTGGACTGTGCTCTTGGGCTGGAAATTGCCTGCAAGCATAAAGCTAGGGTTATTTCAGGTCTCACCTCATTGATGCATTCTCTCACAGATTACAGTTTGCACTATCTATTTCCCAATGTCTGAGAACAGTAGTAATTCTATCAAGACTGGAAGTTGAAGTCTTCTCAAGTTAATAAAACTTGTTTTCCCAAATGTAGAGGCAGAATATAATAGTATTTTCCTCAAAAGTTAGTCGTGATAACTCAACTATGTAATGGATCTGAAAACACCTATAATGATGCATGAAAGAAGCAATTGAGCATAAAATTAGAATAGGTAATAAATTATAGTATTATTTTTCTTTTCCTTTGACACCAATAGTATAAATGGATTTATCATTTTCACAAAATTGTAGACTTTTAGAGCTGCAAGGGACTTATCTCAGGAAGATAAAATTGGGTTGCTCCAAATACCTCATTTTACAGATGAGTAGACTGAAGCTTAGTGAGGGAAAGCAATTTTCCCAATCCCCCATGGCCTATTAGTAGAAGAATGAGACTGGCACTCAGGTATCTTGGCTCCCAGCCTATGGGGCATCTATTCATTCAGCTCACATTTATTGAGTGTCTACTAAGTTCAGAACATTGAACTAATTGCTATATTGCCTCTCTATAATATCTTAGTTTGCAGAAATGTTAAAAAATCAATTTTGGAACATTATACTAAGTTCAATAAATCAGCATATAATTTTGGACTTCTCTGGAGTGAGTAAGTCTGATTGACATTAATTGGAGCAGCCTCCATTGTCCAATGCAAAAATGCAAAGTGCTTCCAGCATTCAGATCTCATGGGATATTCTATTATAGTGCTTTAGACATATGAACATGTCAGGTAATTACTGTGGTTTTATGGCCCTGTCAGTTATGGTTATAGGGAAGCTAAGGATTTACTCTGCATGCAGCCCTTCCAGCCACTCAATGTAAAAATGGATGATAAAACTTTTAAGAAAAGTGTGCAGTATGTTGCGAGATGTGAACAGAACACCATATAAGATGTCAGGGGGCCTGGATTCTAGACTTGGTTTGTTACTTCCATTTTTTGTGCCTAGGTTTTTCTCACTGTAAGAAGAGGACAATAGCCTATGATCTACAGTGCCCATTCCAACTCAGAGAATCTTTACATCTGGAGATCTATAGCAGGGCTATCCCTAGTGACATGCGTGAAGAAGCTTGGAAATGGTGCTGGGTAGGAGCTGAGTGTGCAGAATGTGGAAAGGCATTCTAAACCAAAGGAAGAACACGAGTAAAGATGATGAAGCAGGGATAAGGCTAAAATGAAATTTGTGATCTGATCCACATACAAGCACAGTGTAGTACAGCTGGAATATAGAGAAGAGCTTGAAGACTTATGAGCAACTATCCCGGTACTCTTGGAGGCTCTGCAACCACAGTTTGAGAAACTCCGCGTTCAAAGTTAAAAACTGTCACCTGAATAGTTAATAACATCAAAGATTGTGAAAGCAAGTATAAATAACACAGAGATTAAAATAATGAGGCAGGATCAGAAAGTGAGTGTTATATTTATCTATTTTTTCCTGTATCACTGAAACAAAAACATAACATTTCAAAATTATTGTGTAGAACTCCTCTCCTCTTCCAGAACAATGCTCAGAGCTTTGCAGACTCTGGTTTGCAAAAACATCATGAAAGGGGATAGTGGTAGATGAGATGAGAAATGTTGATCAGGAGGAGATCACGGAAAGCCTTGAACACCAGGCTTCAGGGCTAGTCACTTATTCTGCAGGCTGTAGAGTTGTAGGGAGTGAGTGATACTTTATGAGCAAAAGGCTTAGTATGCTGAGGTCTGTGTTTCAGGTTTCTTTGGTTACAGTGTGAGGGATGGACTACAGGGGTAGAACAGAGGTCTTGTCAGGAGGCTGGCTCAATAGCCCTGGTGGCAAGGAATGAAGGATGAAAGTCTGAGGACCCTGACACAAGGCGAGTGATAGAGGAAGGCTGAGGATGAAAAATGAATGAGACCTGTTTGTTGACTGCCATGGAGGTCAGGATGAAGCCCATATTACTAGGTTTCTAGGCCACGTGATGGGGTGAGTGGTGATTGTAGAATCACCCCAGAGGCAGAGCAGCAATTCAAAACAGGATTTGAGACAGAGAGAGAGCGACAAATCTGGGCTTTTATTTGATTCATTCTATTTTTTCCATGTTTGAAAGTAAAAAGGATAAATGCATCTATTCCTTGGAGTTTTGTAAGGACTGATGAATTAGCATATATGAAAGCATTATTATTTATATAAGTTTGCAAGTTTGGAGGGAAATAATTAGTTTAATTAGGACCGTATCAAACATTTCAAACTCATTCTGAGTAAAGAGCTTATTAGCCAAGGGGCTCTCTGTAGGGTCAGATTACTTCCAGCCACTGGATTGGGCCATAGTTCAAGGCCAGAAGCTTGTTTCCACAAGCATCAGGACCTTTCTCTCTCTTCTTTTCATTACCAACCCCCTACCCCCACTGCCATCCTTTTCTAGATCTCTTACGTAGTAAATGCAAAAAAAAAAAAAAAAAAGTGCACAAACATTATGTGAAAAGCATATTCAATTGAACCAATGAGTTTATTCAGTTGACTCTTCTGAGGACATACCTGTGCCAGGCCGTGGTACCTAGATGTGTGAGAGACTGTGGCATTCTCCTCTTCTCCATGCTTGGACAGTACCATCAGCATTGAGGCTCACAGAGTTGCCTTGCCTTGGGAGATGCAGGCTTTGGTGAGAGTGCCCCATGGAGCCTGACCTTAGTTGCAGGCCTTCAATGTGATGAGCAAGACCAGGCACTCTTTCTCAGGCTCCTGATCCCCATGTGGTCTGCATATTGCTCAAATCAGCCAAACTCTCCCACATTGGCCTCCTCCCTTTTTCTCAGCTCCAGGAGACCAGCGTCCCCAAGCAAGGGAAACACTTTGCTCAGCTGCTTTCATCATGACAGCCAGTGCTGAGTGCAGAGCTGTCAGGAAGCCAGGCCACGCTGGCAGCTGGCAGTACAGGCCAGAGAGCAGGGTGGTGCTGCAGCAGGTGCCTGGGTGTCCCTGTGAGCTCAGTGGGACAACAAATCTTCTGTAGAATCCAGTGTGGACTTGGTTTGGCTTTCCAACAATTTTAACCCAACCAGATCCCTCCCTTTAGAATTCCTTCCCTTGGACAAAGCAACTGCAACTATAATTTCAGATTCAGAGGAAGCCTGCAAGCTCTGGCTTCCCTTCTTTGCTTCCTTTTTTTTTTTTTTTTTTTTTTGCGATGGAGTTTCACTCTTGTTGCCAAGGCATTGGAGTTCAGTGGTGTAATCTCGGTTCACTTCAACCTCTGCCTCCTGGGTTCAAGTGATTCTCCTGCCTCAGCCTCCAGAGTAGCTGGGATTACAGGTGTCTGCCACTATGCCTGGCTAATTTTTTGTATTTTTAGTAGAGAGGGGGTTTTGCCATTTTGGCCAGGCTAGTCTTGAACTCCTGACCTCAGGTGATCCACCTACCTCAGCCTCCCAAGTGCTGGGATGACAGGTGTGAGCCACCATCCCCGGCCCCTTCCTTACTTCTAACCCAATCTGGATGTTGTACTTTTACATACTTCTACCATTGAGGGTTTGGATCTAAGTCTCTTCCCCTTGAATCTGGTTGGGCTTGTGACTGCTTTGACAAGCAGTACAGCAGAAGTGACTCTATGTGATTTCAAAGCTAGGTCATAAAAAACCATGTGGCTTCCAGCTTGTTCACTGTGTACTTGTTTTTGGAGCACTGACCTGCTGTGTAAGAAGTCCAACTGCCCTGAGGCCACCAGGCTGGAGAGACCATGTATGGATAGGTTCTCTGATCAACAGTTTCTATCAAGCCCAGCCTTCTAGCCATCAAGCCCAGCCTTCTAGCCATGTCCACCAATGTGCCTGACATGTGAGTGAAGCCATCACAGACCCTTCAGACCAGCCCACCTGCCAGCTGAATACTTGTGAGTAACCTTGGTTGATACTATGTGGAACAGAATCTCTCAGCCAAGCCCTGCCTGAATTCCTGACCCACACATTCAGGAGATACAACGGAATGGCCAGGTTCTAATCCACTGAGTTTTGGGGTGGTTTATTATGCAGCAATAGATAACTAGAACACTGGACATAAATGGAAGAAGCTTTGCGGTCAGCTTTTAATAAGTTTAGGCTGATTTCATGTGATTTACCCCATCCATCTGCTCCTGCTCGTGATAATTCCATCTTGTTCAAAACTTGGATCAAGTTATCTCTTCACTGAGCCAAAACTTTACCTGGGTTTACCAACAGCTCCCTGAGCCTTGGCAACACTTTCAAGTTTCCCAACTATGGTTTGGTTGTCAGTAAAATTTCACATCCAGCCACATACTCACACTTAGCCCAACACAATAGCTGCATGCTACCTTAATCCAAATGATTTGCAAAAATTGCCAAAAGTTGGGACTGTGCTTGTAAAAGCTGTTCTCTATGGATCTGGATAAACAATTTACAGATAACACTTTCTCAGCAACTCCACATACCAGAAAGGGTAGCTTCCTATTTCTTGCCTTGCGCTTCAGGCCTACGTGGAGTATAAGATTTCTACTTGGGGCCGGGCACGGTGGCTCACGCCTCTAATCCCAGCACTTTGGGAGGCTGAGGCAGGCAGATCACCTGAGGTCAGGAGTTTGAGTCCAGCCTGACCAACATGGAGAAATCCCATCTCTACTAAAAATGCAAAATTAGCCGGGCATGGTGGTGCAGGCCTGTAATCCCAGTTACTCAGGAGGCTGAGGCAGGAGAAAATTCCCAGTTTCCTGAGTGGGGTGGAGGTGGGAGTCAGGGTGAGCACTGTCCCTGGGATCCAGCAACATGCTTGTGTGTGCAATTCTCTCAGTATGCTACAAGGACAGGTGTGGTGGTACAGAGGGATGTGGGGTCAAGCCTGAGAACAATCACATGCTTGCTATGTGACCTCAGACCACATAGTCTGAGTCTTAGTTTTCTCATTAGTCAAATGGGTACAATATTAATCCATTCACAGGAAATAGGGGGATGTCTTAGTTTGAGTTTTGTCAGAAGCAGCCTCTGAGACAAGGATGTGCAAGTTTACTGGGGAGAAGGTAAACCAGGGAGAGCCCGGGAGAGGTGTGGGCAGTGATAAGGGGAGGGGAGAAAACCGGTAAAGGGGCCATGGTCAGCCAGTCAACACAATGCGCAGCTGCAGCTTCATCCCAAGGGGGAAGCTGTTACACGAGTGTAAAACACACACCTCAAAAAACGATCCTCCCGGGGGTGGGGGGCTGGGGTGTGTACACACCAACTCCTCTCAGTCCCTAAAGGCTGCTCCGCAGAGGATGTGAATTTCCCAGCGAGTGTTAATTTTGTAGCTCATCTGGAAAGCACTAGCACTGGAGAAAGCCCTCGGGCCCAGAGAAGCCAATCTTCCTGTTGGAAGTTCTCTGGAGCACACTGAGAGGCTAAGGCTGGAGGGTCAGCGCGCTCATCACATCTGTTCTAGAAGACTGAGTGAAGTCGGTGTAAAAGGCTGGGCTACAGGGGGCTTCTCCTCTTCCCTGTGTGGACCCCTTCCGCCAACAGTGCCGTGCCTTTGCCTGTCCTTTCTGAATCCCAAGGTCATTTGACACCCGATGTGTCCTGTTTTACACACCTGGAGACCTGGAGAGCTCTTCCCCCAGACACATGTAAATGGTCCAGGGTCAGCTCCGCCCACTTTTTACACTTTGTTGCATCCTCCATCTCCCACAGCATCCAGCTTAGCAAGAGACACATGGTAGATAGAAGCTCAGTGGTCAATGCTAGGCAGATCGCATGGGTCAGAGAAGTTTGGTTTGTAGTGGAAGTGGCTTTGTATAGATGTGGCGGCAGAGTGACATGCGTACAAGTGAGTTGCTATATATAAAGTGCTGTACTAATGTGAGGGACATTACTGATGGACTGTTCCTTGCTTGTTTTGGGCATCCCAGATCATGAGGATAGAATCAGCAATAGTGCTTGAGGATAAAATGACTCTCGAAGGGAAGAAGAAAGAAGAACAGATTCGGTCTAAAACAGTTTTCCAGTCTCCCTTTTCCTTTCCCCAGTTATTGGGAAACAAATGACTCCCCTCTTATCCTCTGCTTGGTTTGTGTGGTACGTGATATTTAGATACTGGCATTGGCCTTGCCGTGTGTAGGTTATGGGGCAATGAACAATAGCTAACCTCGTTTACTGCAGGCACTCTCTAGTGACTTATATGTATTAATTCTCATCATAACGCTGTAAAGTAGATGCTATCGTTTCCATTTTACACATGAGGAAACTGAGGTACAGAGAGACATTAGGCAACTTACCTAAGGCCACACAGCTGTTAAGCAGCAAAGCCAGAATTTAACCAGATTGTCTGCTCCATTGGACATAATGAATGCAAATAACACTCACTTTTTTCTAGTTTAAGTATAGAATATAGTGTCTGGGTCTCCAATTATATTTTCATTTCCAGCACCATTGTTCAGTAAAGCAAATTTTTGATATATGGCCATTTGGACATTGGTGCTAATAAATCTGATATTTCTGTGTACATTCTCTTACATTGCTAAGATGTCCATTGCAATCAGAAGCTCACCGAATGTGCTTAGCTGAGTGGAGAATGATTTCTCGGTGTTGTATTTGCTCTGAAGAGTCTGAATTCTTGGGGAGGCAGAAGCTGGAAGTGAGTGAGTCAGAGCTCAGATGGGAAGTCAGAGGCCTGCAGCTGGGGACTCCCTGAGAGGATGAGATAGTCTGATCACCTAGTGAGGTGACCAATGTTCTAATTGCCTGGGATGGAGGGGTTTCCTGGGAGGCAGGACTTTCATGCTAAAACCAGGGCAATCCTGGGGAAATCAAGAGGTTGGTCACCGTAACTGTATGCCAAAGTATTAAATAAGAATGTTGTTTTAAACTAGAAAACAAGAAGGAAGATCTCCCATAGATTTTCAAGGTGCTGAGAAAACAGCTTCTAGACATATCTCGAAAGCCAAGTTTCTGAGATGTAATCAGAAAGCTGTAGTGGAAGGAAATTTGAACCAGAAGACTGCAGTCCTGTCTATGAACGTTAAACCTGTGTGGCTTAGGAAACGAGTCTAACCTCGTCTGAGCCTCAGTTTGTTCACCTAAAAGATGGAGATGAGAGCTCATTTGTCTCATTCTCAGGGGTTATGGTGGCCATCCAGACATAAAGAAATTAGAACGTTCATTCATCTGCAGATGCTCACACATTCCTACAGGATGACTGAAACCCACAGCAAACAATCCTCATGAAATACAGCTCAGCTCATCCTGAAGAATAAGTGGGAGGTCAGCCTCACGGGAAATTCGATATCTCCACATGCAGCTGTCATGCCACATGGAAACAGTCATGCATAGGGTCCTGTCACCTGGTAGACTGACCCCAGGTCCACTGACCCCTGACAATCATCAACCGCTTCTGAGGGCTCCATGATTGAGATTTGTCCCCAGGAACTCAGGGGAAACTATATATTGATTAAAATGAACTATCAAAATCATTTAGAGAACTCATATTCCTGGAATCTGTGATGGCCTGTGTGTCCCCTCTCTCTGCCTCCCTTTATTGTTGCTACTGTGACCTGGACTCTGATGTCCCCTGAGGTCCACCACCCTCCCTCAGAACACAGTCTCCCTATTTATTACTTTAGTATCATGTACCAGCTCCATTTTCTTGTGCCAACTTCTGCTGTGGTCTGGACTCAAATCTAAATGGGCTGCCTAGGGGGCTGGACCCAGCCTCTTCCATCTGCCTTTGCCAGAATCAGAGCTGTGGACCTTGGGGCCTTGGAGGCTGGGATCGTATATGACTTGGGCTCCAGTGGATACTCTGTACACAAATCTTCTCTTTGGAGTGTTCAGGGATTGGCTGCTAAAGGGCATAAAGAGAGAAGGTTTCTGCGACTTCTGCAGCACAATATGGGGCTTCTAAGTTTGTGGCTCTCACTTTAGTGAGCAAAACAGTCCCCGAAAAAGCTTGTTAAAATGCAGTGTCCTTTGTCCTATGTCCCAGGGTTTCTGATTCAGTCCAGTGCAAGAATCTGGATTTTTAAAGAAACCACTGAGTTGCTTCAGATACACATTTCTGAGAGTCATATTTTCTGAACTTTTAGATAACGAGAATGTGATTTTAAAAAGGAATTCAGTGGCTGGGCGTGGTGGCTCCCGCCTGTAATCCCAGCACTTTGGGAGGCTGAGGCAGGCTGACTACTTGAGGTCAGGAGTTCGAGACCAGCCTAGCCAATGTGGCAAAAGGCTGTCTGTACTAAAATACAAAAATTAGCTGGGCATCATGGTGCATTTCTATAATCTCAGCTGCTTGGGAGGCTGAGGCAGGAGAATCACCTGACCCCAGGAGGCGGAGGTTGCAGTGAGCAGAGATGGCGCCACCGCACTCCAGCCTGGGCAGCACGGTGAAACTCTGTCTCCAAAAAAAAAAAAAAAAAAAAAGTAATTTAGTCTTTGGTGCTTTGCTTCAGGGTATTATTGATGGCTGAGGTGGTCATCGTTTAGAACTGAAACAAGTTCTGGGTGTGTTTTATTTTCTGATTGTTTGGATGTTGGTGAAATGGAAAACCGACTCAAGGTCTTGGACACTTTTGCAAATAGTATCTCTTCTGTCTTTCTGACATTCAGGAAAGAGGGAGGCAGATATTCTTACAGTATACTCATTTTATAGATGGGGTACTTGGCCACCTTCTTTGGCTTAAATAAAACAAGCACCTGCATGTTATTTTACTATTTCAAAGCATTTGTCCGTGCGTTCTGTTACGTGGCCCTCCCAGGAAACTGCCGCAGTTGGTATTGCTGCCTCTGTTTCACAGACAAGGAAGCCTTGGCTCTGAGTAATTCTCGGACCTGCTGGAGGTTAGAGTGAGCAAGAGCTGACGCTGAACCGGCTGTGGTGGCCCCTGATATCAAAGCCTTCAATACTTCTACTGCCTATCTTTTTTTTTTTTTTTTTTTTTGAGGCAGAGTTTCACTCTTGTTGCCCAGGCAACGGCATGATCTTGACTCACCGCAACCTCCGTCTCCCAGGTTCAAACGATTCTCCTGCCTCAGCCTCCCAAGTAGCTGGGATTAAAGGCATGCGCCACCACGCCTAGCTAATCTTTTGTATTTAGTAGAGACAGGGTTCCACCGTGTTGGTCAGGCTGGTCTCGAACTCCTGACCTCAGGTGATCCAGCTGCCTCGTTCTCCCAAAGTGCTTGGATTACAGGGGTGAGCCACTGTGCTTGGCCCCAACTGCCTCCCTAGAGAAGACGGCAGTGCAACTGAAAGTGGAACTAAGAGGCCCAATTGCTGGGAGACAAATGGTGTTTCCAGGGCCACAGACACCTCGGCTCCCACGATTGAAGATCCAGCCACTACATTGGCTCCCCGTCTCCTTGTCCAGTAAGGGAAGAAAAAACAAAAAGGCCAGTGGGTCCTTTAGGGCTTCCTGGATAAAACAAGGACAATCAGCTACTTAATTTAAATGGAGGAAAAAGAAAACAGGAGATGAAAGTGACAAGTAGACTTGGGTGTCTACAGACATGCCCCTCTTGGCTGCTTCTCCACATCCAGGCACAGGCTTTTCTGTGTCTGATGCCTTTGTCTCACACCTTCGGGGGCACCCAGGGAGATGAGGTGGTGAGCTCAGACAGTGGCTGGAATTTATGGGACCAATGGAGCCCCTCTTCCCACCCTCGTGGTAGGAAGGGGAAGCATGATGAATTTCCTCCTGGGTAAACATCTTCGCAGGAAGCATTCATCAAATGTCAACAGGGCCGGCAGAGGAGTCTGGGATCAGCCAGGCGGGGATCGGCTTCCCCCTCCTCTCGCAGGCTGTGGGTTTTCTCCTGCGCATTCACACCTTCTTCTGTCTTGGGTCCCATCTTCTCTCAAGCAGCTGAGGGGAGGGACAGGAGGACATATCCTAAAACAACCCAAATTGTTTTTTGTTTTTGTTTTTGAATTATTGATTCATTTTATTTTTAAAAGTTATAGTATTATGTATGACAATCAAAACAGAAAACAACCTAAACATCTAACAATGGGGAAAGTTAAGTAAATTATAATATATGGTAGGACTCTTATGCAGCCATTAAAATATCTGTATTCAAAGTTGTTAGAACATGACAAATACTTGTGTTATTAAGTGAAAATGGCAAGACAGAAAACTTCATCCACATGGTGAGATCAAGTAGATATTTTAAAATACACAGAAACAGGCCCAGGAAAGAGGGGTTAAAAAATTATTAGTAGGGCGACCAGGTGCGGTGGCTCATGACTGTAATTTCAGCACTTTGGCTGGCCAAGGCGGGCAGATCACCTGAGGCCAGGAGTTCGAGACCATCCTGGCCAACATCGTGAAACCCCATCTCTACAAAAGTATAAAATTAGCCAGGTGGGCGCCTGTAATCCCAGCTACTTGGGAGACTGAGGCAAAAAAATTGCTTGAACCCGGGAGGCGGAGGTTATAGTGAGTCGAGATCATGCCACTGCACTCCAGCCTGGGTGGTAGAGCAAGACTCTGTCTCAAAAAAAAAAAAAAAAAAAAAAAAAAAAAAATATATATATATATATATATATATATATATATATATATATATACACACATACATACATGGGTTCTCTTTCTGTGTAGGATAGAATTATGGATAAGTTTTTCTCTTTATCTTTTATAATTTCTATACTGCCTATATTTGTACAGTAGACATTGTATCTTTCATAAGTTCATTCTCAGAGGGAGGGAGGGATCTTTTACTTTTGTTTCAAGATCCACATCTCTGAAGAATTAATTAAAACAACTTGTTCAGATAGTTACTGCTCTGGGTGAAGAAAAAGCCACTGGTGGCCCAACCAGAAAGGAGAAGTAGTTGGCAGATCCTGGAGGGTTTCCAGTGATGTGTAGGGGTCATTTTGGATCTCTGCTTCTGCATCCCACCAAGGTTTGAATTGTCCCATTAGCTGCCCACTTGGGCTCAGTCCTCCCGCCCTGGGAGCAGGCCCCAGGCCCCGGCTTCAAGGCTCAATAACAGGTCATCTTGCAGGCCTCCATTTCCAAAGCCAAGTTCACTGGCGTAACTGCCACTACACCCCACCCTTTTTTAATAAGCAGGGTTTCTATCAAGCTGGGCACCTGTAACACAGTTGATTGCCCAGATTCTTGCAGGAGAAAGCTGATAAGGAAATGTCTGGAAGAGCCACAAGCTCGCAAAGCCGCTGTTCCTCCTGCACTGGGCACTGCTGGTTGTAGATGCTGTGGCCATCCGCTCTTCTCTCAGGGGACCCGTCACTCATACTTCACTCTCCAGGCTGAGGAAGCCTGAACAAGCAGGACCACTGATTCCAGGGTCTCTTGTGGATTTTCAGACTCCAGCCCCTACAATGCAGAGGAAAGAAGCCCTCCCTCACCATGCCTGCTATTTCCTTACACCTCCAAGAACCAGTCATCCTCTCATTCATGAGACGCAATATGAAGTTGTCCTTAAGCCAGAAGGATTTGAATTTCAACTCTGCCCCAGCACTTAGCAAATGGTCACAGAAGAAGTACTTAATCATGGTTAGTGAAGACAGTTACTTTATTATTATTTCTATGCTTGTCTTTGGAGGAGAGTGGACTTTGGAAGGATGCAGGAAGCTGTCAAGCCTCTGGCCCTTCCATGCCTTGTCCTTTTCACCGGCTGAGGGCTGCTGTCTCCCCAGACTTCTCTGTGGGTCCAAAGCCCACTCACTCAGTTGCTCTGTATTTCAATCTTGCCACCAAAAGGCACTGAGTATCCTTTGTGCTGGCACATAGGATAAGTGGAAGATGGAAAGAGGAATAAGAAAGGCAGCAGCTGGCGGGGTGCGGTGGCTCACGCCTCTAATCCCAGCACTTCGGGAGGCCGAGGCGGGCGGATCACCTGAGGTCAGGAGTTCGTGACCAGCCCGACCAATATGACGAAACCCCTTCTCTACTAAAAATACAAAAAATCAGCCAGGAGTGGTGGTGGGCACCTGTAATCCCAGCTACTCGGGAGATGGAGGCAAGATAATTGCTTGAACCCAGGAGGCGGAGGTTGCAGTGAGCTGAGAACGAGCCACTGCACTCCAGCCTGGGCGACAAGAGTGAAACTCTGTCTCAAAAAAAAAAAAAAAAAAAAAAAGAAAGACAGCAGCCTGTGGCAGCTCATGGGGAGGGAAGGAGGGAATGCAGAAGCAACTGCAGCCAGATGGAACATAGAGTAGAGCAGAAAGCAGCATTCTTCAGGGGAAGGACAGGTCATTTCCAGCTGGGGGCTTGAAGAATGGCTCTGGAAAGGCTTCCTGGAGGAGGCGGTATTTGGGCTGTGCTTTGAAGAAAGGGAAGGACTTCGGTGGGTCGGTAGAGGTGGGAAGGACCTGCCTCAGCTGTGAGCTTATTGCCAAGGCAAAGGATACCACTTGAGCCCAGGAACAGAAGATTCTTGGCCTCCAGGCCATCAGTTAATTGTGCAGACATTTCAAGCTTCCATTGCATTGTCAATAATAGTCATGGGCCATTTTTTGCATACATGATGTTATTTGAATTTCGCAAAAATCGAATGAGTCAGACAGAACACGAATTATTATGCTC
Source organism: Homo sapiens (assembly GCF_000001405.40). Classification (NCBI taxonomy): domain Eukaryota; kingdom Metazoa; phylum Chordata; class Mammalia; order Primates; family Hominidae; genus Homo; species Homo sapiens. The sequence continues at coordinate 194,037,826 of NC_000003.12, read as the reverse complement.
ATTTTCCAGATGAGCAAATTGTGGCCCAGGGAGGTGAAGGGGTTTGACTTTGTCCACGAAGGTGGCCAGTGGGAGGGAGGGCACTGCACTCAGATCTCTGGGCTCCAAGTCCAAAACACATCATATGGCATAAGATTGATCCTCTTCTGTCTACTCCACCCACAGGCTGTTAAAGGTGGTCTTTGGAACCAGAGGAACTTCAAGCTGGTGCCTTGGCTTCAATTGATGTTCCATTCACAATTGCCAGGACTCTGCAATAGCATATGCAGAGATCCCCTGCTCCCATCTGACGGCTTCTAATCTATCATTTCTAATCACATCTTCTATACAGAGTAACCTTTTATTTTTTAGACAGTCTTGCTCTATCGCCCAGGCTGGAGTGCAGTGGTGTGATCTCGGCTCACTGCAACCTCCGCCTCCTGGATTCAAGTGATTTCCCTGCCTCAGCCTCCTGAATAGTTGGGATTATAGGTGGCTGCCACCACACCCGGCTATTTTGTATTTTTAGTAGAGAAGGGGTTTCACCATATTGGCCAGGCTGGTCTCGAACTCATGACCTCAAGAGATCCACCTGCCTTGGCCTCCCAAAGTGCTGGGATTACAGTTGTGAGCCACTGCGCCCGGCCCACAGCAACCTTTCTAAAGCGTAGATCTGTTGCTCTTGCTTAAAAACCTTCAGTAGCTTCCCTGCCTCTTTTGGGTAGCGTTCCTTACCCAAACCTCTTTATCTGTTCTTCTAGGCCCTCCAGGATCCTTCCTGCCCTTTTGGCCCCCTTGCTTGCCTGTCTTCCCTGTGCTTCCTGTGTGTGGGACACTGAGTATCTTGCAGTTCTCAAAGTGTTCCAGGATGTCTCGTCATAGCTTTGTGCACGCATGGATTCTAGAGCCAGACTACCTGGGTTTAAAATTCATACCCACCACTTAAGTAGCTGTGAGACTGAGAATAAGATCCTTAGCCTCACTGTGTCTCAGCTTTCTTATCTGTAAAATGGGGATAATACTAGGACCCAATTTGTGATGTTGTTGAACAGACTCATTGACTTTATATAACAGATCTAAACTTGGTACATAGTAGGTGCTTAATAAATATTGTTGTGGCTGTTCCCTCTGCAAGACCAACTCTCCCTGATCTGGTGAACTTAGGCAGGTTCTCTCAGGCTCCCTTCTCTGTTTGCAGCCTCCAGGAAGCCCACCCTAACTGCCTGAGGCAGTTACCTCCCTCTCTCTGTCCTGCCTTCACAGAGGCCTGCATGCCTCCCAGGCAGAGAACTTGTCATTTGTGAGAGCTGCGCCCTATCTGAGACCCTGTGATGCGTGCCATGCCTAGCCCGGCCCTGACACATGGTAGATCCTAATATGAAGCTGTGGAGGGAGTGAATGGCCTGCAGCACTGCACGGAGGACCTCTTTGTGGCACGGCCACCAACGCGTGTTGGGTGACTGACCACAGAGACTCCTTTACTCCTTCGTTTCCCAGAAATAAAATGGACAACTGGCCTCCTAGTCTGATGGGGTGTCCCAGACAAGGCAAGACCCTGGAAAGTGGGGCACGGTTTAGCAATGAGTCTTAGCCCAGATTATTAGCCTATTGGCCAGAGCAGGTTCACCCCAGGACCCCTCACTTCAGGCTCTTTCCCAGGCCCAGGACCTCAAGTTGCATTTGCCATGTCATGTTCTTTTTCTTAAAGACAGCCCTCCCAACTGTGCAAACTTCAGGCCCCCTTCAATCCTGATATGCCCCTGGAGTGAATGCCCCCATTCCCTGCCCTCATCAGCTTCCTCATGCTGTTGGTTTCCCAGCCCTTTTCTCTCTTTGCCTTTTGTATCTGCCCCTGGGACTCTGAGTCGGGGAGGAGGACCAGGAGAGGTAGCCCCGGTGCACTCTGTCCTCTCCTGGCTTGCCCACACTCCTGGGATGCCTGAAGAACAGCTGTGAGGAGCTGCCTGGTGTTGCCAAATCTCATGCAGATCACCTCCTGTCACCCACATCCCTGTTCCTCCCACAGGGTCTCTCTGGTCCTTAAATCCTCCCTCTTGGTTTTGGCTCTGAATAAGGCCCCATCTCTCCCCATACACTCTCTACCCCCTCTGTCTCTGTTTGGTCCAGCCTCCTTGAATGAAATTCGTTGGACTTTGGGCTTTCAAGTCTCCTCCTTCCAGGAAGTGGCCTCAGCTTCCATAAACTCTGACTATAGGCAACAGCTCCTGCCAGCCTGCAAGGCAGGCCTGTGGCTCAGAAGGCCAGGCCTGTCCCTTGATCAGGTCACTTGTGTGGGAGGAGGGCAGTGGGGTGGGGTAGGGCGGTGTTAGACACATTCAAACCATTTCCTTAAGGAGGAAATGTAATTTTCATAAATCTGCTATTTGAGGGCTACCTATGTACACCCTTCGGGGTGCAATTCTCAACCCTGGCTGCACTTGTGGAGGTTTATAATATACAGATGCCTTGGTCCTATCCCAGAAATGCTGTTTTAATTGGTGTGGGGTGCAGCCCAGGTAGCAGGCATTTTTGAAGCTCGCCAGGCGATTCTAACGTGCAGCCAAGATTGGGAACTACTGCTTCAGGGAGCACATCCTGTAACTGAAGGCAGATGGAGGGCTTGGAGCAAAGCGGGTTCCAGTGTGAGTGCATGGCAATGCTTGATTCCTTTGCCTCCCTGACTGGACCTGAAGAGACAGAGCTCTGCTGGACTCCAGTGCCTGTCCACTAGAGGGGACGCAGCCCCAAAGCACCTCACGATGGGTCACCACCCTGGCTCAGCTCTCCCCCGCCTGCCACCCAACACCCCTGGGAGGTGAGTTTTAGGGCAGAAACAGCAACTGTTAGGGAGCAGGGCCGTCTTCATTCTGGCACACTCTAGGCCCAAGTCAGAGGTCTTCTTGCCAGGCACCTGAGAACAGGGTTCGGGTTCATGTTCCAGCCAAGCCCCTGGCACTGCTCCCACACCTGCCCCTCCTCTTGCCCGTTCGGCTCAGTGAATTGCACCCCCTTGGCTGTTCTGCTTCCAGAAGTCACTCCCCCTGGACTCTGCCCTACTTCCCTCCAAATCCAGTCAGTCACCATGTCCTGTGCACGCGTCCACTGAACTTGCTGTAAACCCGCCTTCCTCCCCAGTCCCACTGCCCGGGCCCTCTTCGGGCCTCCTTTCTTCTTCTGTAATGCAGTGGCCGCGCCTGCATGCGCTTCTGGGCTGCTCTGCTCTGTGATTTTCTCTCTATGCCAGATCAGTGTTCCTGTCCTACTGAAGTTCCTCCCTACTCTCTCTCTCTCTCTGTGTGTGTATATGTTTCTCCAAGTGATTCAAATCTGAAACTTCCTGGGATTTCCCTTTGCCTAGCACAGTGGTTCTTAAAGTGTCTTGGGAAGGCCGGAAGTATCACGATTACTTGGGAACTTGTTAGAAATGCAAATTCCCAGGTCCCACGCAGACCCACTGAATATGGGACTCTGAGGGTGGGCCCGGCAGCCTGCGTTCAAGCCCTCTAGGTGAGTCTGATGTGTGCGAGAGTTTGGAAGTCACTGGGCTGGACAGTTCATGCCACACTCCCATGTGAATTGAAAGCTTCCCACACGCTGGTCCCAATTTGCCTGTTCTGTCCAATTCCTAACTGTCCCATCTCCCATATCCCTTCCTGGGGGACGCTGCTCACACGGTTCCCTCTCCTGAAAAGCTGTTTGCCACTTCCAAGTATTGAAAGCTTCAAGATCCAGCTCAAGCATCATTTGTTTTGATGGATCCCAAGATTCCTCCTACAAGAACAATTTTCCTTCCTCCAGCCTCCACAGTATTATTTTTTTTTTTTTGCCTCTCCCTCTCTCAGTCTTTCTGTCTCTCTGAAGGGGTTTAGCCTTTAATAAGCAGGGCTTCATTCAACTGTGACTACACATGAGAGTCACTCAAGGAACTTTGAATACTTATACCCAGGCTACACTCCGGAGCAATGAGACCAGAATTTCAGGAAGCCTGGCATTGTATATTTCAGTAGTTCCCTTACATAGGTTTAATGTGCCTCTGAGTTTAAGACCCTCTCTTCTAAAGCGACCAGAGGGAAAATCATGATGGGAAGAGATAGGAATGTAAAGTTAGGAGACACAGGTTCTGCTCAGGGCTCTGTCCCAAATGACCATCTAATTTGGGGCAAATCACTTCTCCCCTCTTTCCCAAACTGCAAAATGGGGCATTGTTTTAGATCAGTGGCTCTCAAAGCCAGCCAATGCCTGGATGTCAATCCTACGGATTCCCATGTAATCTGTCTGGGGAGCAGCCTGGATTCTAACTTGCAGCCAGGGGTGAGAACTACTCTCTCAGATCTCATCTAAGGGCCATGCAATTGTGTACAACGGTTTACTTTGGAGAGCAAGGGTGTCTGTCTCTTCAAATACTTGGACTTCTTTGCCCCAGCATCTATTAATCTTTCCTCTTCCCAAATAAAACCTCAGACCTGGTGTCAGTGATGCTGGGGCATGTGAAGTTTCTTATCTGATAGCATAAGAGCCAGGGATATTGTGAGCCTACCACAGGCAGCCTGGTTGGGTGTGTTTGGCCAAGGTGGCAGGAGGCGGATTAAGGATCAGATGAAAATGCTCACCAGAGGCCTGGCAGGGGGTCACTGGGAGGGCTACTTCTGAGCTCCAAACACCAGCACGGGTGGGGGGATGGGTTTTCCTTCGAGGCTGGGTCAGGCAGGGTCTTATGTAAAGGGCAGATGTAAAAGAGACCTTGTAAAGTAGAAGAAGACGGAGTGCATCCAGGCAAGTTAAGTTCTGAAACTAGGTAAGTCAGTCTGCAGCCCGGGGTTGGCAGGATGACCCAGCAGCGGCGAGGGGCCAGGGACAGGGGCGGAGGAAACAGCTGCTTATTTAAGGGGTGGGGGTGGGGAAGGGAAGTAGAATGCTTACAGAAGCATCCTCTCTGATGAAGGTGTTACTGATCCCTGGAGACACCCAACAGCCATCTACAATAGGCTTCTCTGTTTATCTGCACATGACACCATCCCGTTTCAGAGCCCAGAGCAGAGACCTTCCACCTCAGATCCAGGAGAGTGGAAAAGACGCTCCCCCAAACCATCACCTTCCCTCAAACCCCCAACACCCTCAGCCTCCAGCGCACGATGAACTCTTTTCTTCCTCTGTGCTATGCCCTGCTGCCGCCTGCCCCATAAGGATTTCTTCCCCTAAAGATGGGCTGGTTTCTAAGGCCAACTGCCCCTGGAGGAGGGAGGGGGCTGTGTTTTGCAGTGAGAGGTAGTGTTGGCTTAGAGAGGCCCGAGTTGTTTTGCAGATGGGAAAACAGTCCTGGGGGTGCGGTGTCTGGCCCAGGCCAGCCCAGGGCGCCAGGACAGAGGTCAAGCCGTCTGTCTGGAGCTTGGAGCACTAGACCATGCTTCCTGATGACTTTACAGTCTAAGCCATTGAGGAAGAAAAAGCACATGGAAAAGGAGCTTTGTTTTGACTTCTCGACACTGGCAGGGACCGGTTCTCCCTGCTGGGAAGATGAGAATGTCACAGGGCCATGGGTGTGATGTGTTTCACCCCACACTCCCACCCTGTGAGGTGTCTGGTGAAGCCTGGGAGAAGGTAGTTTTCCAAGAGTAAGTCTCCTGGGTTTGCTCCAGGCAAATAAAGTTTTTGAACTTGAATGTTGGTCAAATAAAGCTTTGTGGTCCCAAGGAAGGAGAGCAGTTTCAAAAGCCACCCACCTGGAAGGCTCGTCACGGCTTTGGAGGCATCAGATCCCCTTTGCAAGGCCATTTTTTTGGTTGCCTTTGAGGTCAATGAATCAGAGCAGTCTGAATTCCATTTGCCCTGGCACAGGCTAGGCGGGGGCAAAAGGTCATGTGAGGAAGAACAGGCACAAACGAGGCGGGACCTGGCGCTGCACCTGAGGTTGGGTTTGTTGTGGCCCCAGCACACCTTGCAAATGGAAAAAGGTAGAGGGGTGTCTTCAGACCCCCAAATTGTAAAGTAGTCAGAGAATCACAACATTGGAAGGGACCTTAGACTAATTTAGTATCTATTCCACTCAGATGACCCAACCTGCTGGCTTTACAGACAAGGAGACCGAGGCCCTGGGATGTGTGGTGATGGGTTCACCGTCCTCCAGGGAGTGGAGACAGGCCTAGGATGAGCTCGACGATGCTTAGCCCCAGGCACTTTCTTTGGGTCCCTGGCTGCTTCCAGTCTTGCAACAGGACTCTGTGCCCTTTGGCTTGCTCTTAATATCCCTGACCTCTGGAGAGCCAGCCCCAGCTCTATGATTTTTGGCAAATCTGTTAACCACGATGTCCCTCCATCCAACCCAGCTGGGAAGCCAGGCAGGACGCACGGCTCCTGGGAAGCCAGCTAATGGCACCCTCTGGCCCTTCTCTGCCAAAAGCCCCACAGCGGGGAAAGAACCGGCTGGGGAGAGTTTGAGACGGCTTGGCAACCCCCTGATAGAGGCTTGGCTGGTGCACACCCCACTCCCCCTACCCAAGAAAGCCCCCAAATAGGAGGACTCTAAAGAAGAAACATCCTAAATGATGAGCCTTCACAAGGAGATTTTCACTGGTTCCTTCCCACACCAATTCATAGGATTGGTTTTCAGGAAAAAAAAAAAAAAAGTAGGAAAAGGATTGTTATGAGGCCAGACCTGGTGATTGCCCCAGGAGAGAATGAACCAAGAAACAATTGCCAATGGCATCAAGTAAGGCTGCCCATAGAAACTTACCGAAGAATCCATAGTTTAACATGTTATTACTTTCTTTATTTCCTCCAGAGAATTTTACAGTGGCACACCCCTAGGGACTATTCTTTCCCTTAATAAAAGAGGGAAAATGTAGATTTGGAGTAGGGAAGCTGTTGTCTTGGGACAAGCAGCCAGGAGGTGTGGGTGGGGTCAAGAGAAACTCTGGCCGGGTACAGTGGCTCACACCTGTAATCCCAGCACTTTGAGAGGCCAAGGCAGGTGGATCACTTGAGGTCAGGAGTTCGAGACCAGCCTGGCCAACATGGCGAAACCCTGTCTCTACTAAAAATACAAAATTAGCTGGGCATGGTGGCAGGTGCCTGTAATCCCGGCTACTCGGGAGGCTGAGGCAGGAGAATCGTTTGAACCAGGGAGGCAGAGGTTGCAGTGAGCCAAGATTGTGCCACTGCATTCCAGCTTGGGTGACAAAGTGAGACTCTGTCTCAAAAAAAAAAAGAGAAACTCCAGGTCCATCCCTCATGTCTGGGGCTCAGCTGTGCCACGTAGGCTGTTTGCACAGGTGAAGATCAAGGCTGCATGTCTGTGTTGCCCAAGCAGCCTCTGATGGCAGTCTGCCAGGTGAAAGCATTGGCCAGACCCTTGGCTTGATACTGGGCTAGTAATGAACCTCTGTGGTTGATGGAGCATATTACCTTTTGATCTCCAGTGGGGAGGTGAGCAGAAGCCACCAGTCCTGAGATGTGGTACAATTCCAAGTCTCTTCAAGAGTCACCTGAAGTGAAGTGCACAAGAAGGAGAGAGCTCTGCCACCCGAGGCTCCCTTTAACATCCTGGAGACACCTCTTTTCAATGGTGGAGCTCAGGCAGCTGGTGGGCAGGCTCAGGCAGAGCACCTGGGACTTATCAGGTGCACTGGGATGAAACTCATGCCCAAGAGAGGCTTGGAAGCTGACTGGACAGAAAAGGTTCAGAAAGAGTGTGGTGAATATGTAGAGGTGATGGGTCACTCTGGCAGGTTGTCAGCCTGAGACAGGTCCCAGCTGTGGAGGGGAAGGGCTGCAGGTACAAGAAGGTGTAGGCAGCTAGGGCTTCCTCTGCCCCACCCAGCAAGTGACCAATGTTATCAGGGTCACAGAGCTCAGAGGTTAAGAATACAGGCTTTGCAGTCAGACAGGAGGTACTGACTCAACCTCTTTCTGGCAGTGTGAACATGGACAAGGTTATTTAACTCCTTTGAGCCTTAGTTTCCTCATTAACTGGGTGGAGATTAAAGTACCTAACTCACAGGTCATGGTGAGAATTCAATACAACAACATATATCACATGTTAATCATAGTGCCTGGCATTCAACATAATATTGTTATTATTACTTTTTTTTCTTTCAGGGATTATTTTCAGACCTCATGAAGCTGCTGGCTTATAGAACAGGAGTCTTTCTGTTGGCAGCCAGGAGAGATACAAGAGGGGGAGGACAGATTCTGCAGCTCCATTTCGTGAGCCATCACCTGTCTTTGTCCCTTTTTTTTTCAGTAGGGTATGTGGGAGCAATAAGGCAAGGAAACCTCAAGGGTGGCCCTTGGTTACACAAAGTCTTATAAATGCTTCCAAAGCACAGAGGCTTCCTCCTTCTCAGGATGCGGGCTGGAGATGAAGTCCCCCATTCCCTGCTCTTGCTCAGGCCATTTTTACCAAGGTTCCCTCTCACACAGGTCCCTCACAGCTGGCCTCATGGTGTGGGAAGGGGCCCAGACAGCTAAAGTCAGATCTGGCCAGGCAAAGCCTTGAGGTCCCAGAAGGCCCTGCCCAGAGCCAGGTGTCCTCACAGTGAGGCCTTGGGCTTACAGACCTGAGTACTTCCCATGGGAGATACCTGGTCCCAGAGGTAACTCTTGATAAGGGCTTATGGATTCTCCCTCTGGCTTTGAGCTGTGTTGCACCCGTAGGTGCTGATTTACGTGAGGATTAGGAAAATGCTACACTTTGAGGTAGCCTTAGGGAGGGGCTAGACATCTTTATCACCTCTGAAGGTGGCTCAAGAATCAGAGTAAGGGTTTGAACAGTATTTCCACAGGTCAAGGGGCAACTCTCTTCCTTCCAATCACCCCCACAGATCTCTGTTTCACCTCAAAATAAATGCTGAACAAAAATTTCAAGAAGAACTGAAGGGAAGGGAGCAAATTATGGATCTTCCTGGGGCAATTGTAGGTCTTGGTCTGAACCTGACTCAATATGAGTCCTTAAAACAAACTGTGGCAGAGACTGCTAGCAGCCAAGGCCATCTTGTTCTCGTCTCCCTTGTCATCCATACAAAATATATTTCCCATACTCCCTTGCAGCTAGGCATGGTCATGTGACTGAGTGGTAGCCAATGGAACATGAGTAGGAATGATGGGCACCACCTCCAGGCCTGGTTCATCAAAACATCTCAGGTTCACTCCTATGTGTTCTTTACTGTCTTAGGCAAATAAGGATAATGCACAGGGTACCCTTGAAAGCCATGTGTTATAATGACAGTGTTCATCCAGCCTTGATTCCTGTAGAGCAGAGTGGAGGAGAGCCCCTGGGCTGGCTCATTCACCAGCTCAAAAATGATACAAGACTAAGAAGTAAACGTCCATAGGATTGTCATGAATTTTGGGGTCTGTTTGCTACAGCAGTGCACTTATACTAACTCATATAGGATCACACCTTTGTTTGAGCTAGAGAGACCACCCCTAGTCCTGTCCTGTATAAGTCTATAGAGTCTCTTCTTTTTTTTTTTTTTTTTTTTTTTTGAGATGGAGTCTCACACTGTTGCCCAGGTTGGAGTGCAGTGGAGTGATCTTGGCCCACTGCAACATCCGCCTCCCAGGTTCAAGTGATTCTCCTGCCTCAGCCTCCCAAGTAGCTGGGATTACAGGCACCTGCCCCCAAGCCTGACTAATTTTTGTATTTTTAGTAGAGATGGGGTTTCACCATGTTGGCCATGCTAGTCTCAAATTCCTGACCTCAAGTGATCCACCCACCTCAGCCTTCCAAAGTGCTGGGATTACAGGCGTGAGCCACTGCACCCAGCTCTATTCTAATTATTTGCAGTAATTACATTCTATTTATAAAGTGGCTATGAGCATTGAATTAGCAAAACTGAGCCATTGCTTCTAGGGGAAATATAGGCTTCAGTTTCTGTGAGCCACTAGTCACAATATTTTTGTGAATGATCAATATACAAACTTGTTTTGTGGGTGTTTCTGCTTAAAGACACCATATTTAAATACACTGTTGGTTCATTAACAATGAACTCATAGCCAACAGCATTATAACTCTACCTGAATGAAACTTATCTAACACACAAATGGTTTGCTCCCTAAGGCACATCACAGCCTTCTTGCACTTAAAACACTAGATAACACATCAGCAATCTGCTTGGGGACCATTTTAAACCATTAAATCACCAAGAAAAGCATAAAAATGCAAAAAACATGGCATTAAATGGACTGCAAAAAGGACATTTGTTTACAGTATGATAGACAAAACAAGAAGGCAGGGCATCACCTTGCTTGACCTCAGTTGGGAATGCATGCATCGTGGGCCTCAAATATTTCACCTGTTTGTGCATGTCCAGGAATTACCTTGAAAGAGCCATTGAGGTAGGAGACGGAACTTGACTCTGGAGGTGGGGCTTGGACACTGGAGCAAATTGAGGACTAGCTAAAACAGGTTGGGGGCAGAAGCATCTCCTCATGAGGTACACCGGCCAGTGTGCCCTGTCAGTTTACCATTTCCATGGCGACACCCAAAAGTTACTGCCCCTTAGCATGGCAACCCAGGATTGGCCACTCTCATTCTAGAATTGTCTACATAAACCGCCCCTTAATTTGCATATAGTTAAAGGTGGGTATAAATATGAGTGCAGAACTGCCTCTGAGCTGATACTCAGGGCACACAGCATATAGAGTATTCTTGTTCCGCAAAAAACAGTACCTCTGCTGCTGCTGTACACTCTGCTGCTTCAGAGTCGCTGTTTAACACTGTGGGTTCACCCTTGAATTCTTCCTGGATGAAGCCAAGAACCCTCCTGGGCTAAGCCTCAATTTTGGGGCTTGCCTGTCCTGCGTCAGCATGAGTACGGACTTTGGGGTTACAAATAGGTGCATTTGCAAATATGGAATCCACGAATGATGAAGATAGACTATCACTGGGTACCACCGGAATTCTCTGACCTGATAACTTCATATGCAAATCCTGGCTGGTAAGGAGGATTGGGAGCAGGTGGATTGCCGGAAGTCTTAGGCTAGTACTAAGAGTACGGGGTGGGGTGTAGATACCTGTGTGTGGCTTCCAGTAGGTCAGTACCTGCTGCCTCTACTAGTACTGCTCATTCAAGAACACCTTTGGCTGAAGATGGCACCAGGGTCTGGCCATCAGGCTGCAATTAATTTAAAAGTGATGGAGACTGGCAGGATCCAGGATAACCAAGCTCTTGGAGGCTGCTTTTTAAGACAGGACCAAATCATGAGATGATTTTTAGTCACATGAATGCACCATGTTCTCTCTTACTTCCAGGCTTTGCACATATTGTTCTCTCTGTGTGGAACTCCATACCCTTTCTCTTATTTTTCTTCCTCCCATCATATTCCCTGCTTTCCACCCATCACATCTTGGTCAGTTCTTCCACATTTAGATTCCGAGTTTGGATTAAGTGGTCCAGCTCTATGCCATTTAGTATCCAATATTTCCTCCAGTTCATGGTATTATGTACTTTTCTCTCTCCCTGACTGAACTGTAAACTCTATATGGGCAGGAAATGTATCTATTATTGTATCCCAAATAAAACTGCCTTAAATAAGGATGATGGGTGCTGACTCTTGGAAATAAATATTTTAGAGAGTAAGTCTTAACATTGTTTCAATTCAGTAGCTTGGGGATGTAACCAATGACCCAGTTTCCTTTGCTCTCTCTGCTCCGCCTTCTGTGTGTCAGCTTTACCCTAAGACAGGCTCCTACTTTGGTTACACGTTGTCTGCTAAGAGTCTCTAGGATACTTGCTTTGCTGTTCCATGTGCTGAGAAAGAAAGAGAGCTGATTGTTCCTCCTCTAACCATCAAACAAAAGTCCTGGGCTTTTGTCTGACTGCATGATCTGAAGTCAAGTGCCTATCTTTGAACTGTAGAAAGAGGAAATGGATTACGCATTAATCTAAATGATTAATTTAAATCCTGGAGCTAGGATGGGATCAATTGTATGAGACTGGCATAGCTGCTCTGAAGGAGGGGAAAGAGGGGATGGGTCTTGGAGAGGGCAACCATAGTATCTTGTAGAGTGAGGGTGGCAGGAGGAAGGACTGGTGGCAAGGAAGTCCCCCTGAGAGAGCAAGTCCTAGACAGAGATCCTAGGCAGGTTATTAGAGAAGGGTCTCAGATTCACATGGACCAAGAGTGGAACCATTTACTTCTTACTGAAGTAGAAGAATTTGCAGCAAGGCAGACACTACTTTTAGGATGGGGGTCGAAGCTGAGCTAGAACACAGCTATCAACGGGACAACAGCAATGTGAGATGAGGCTGCAGAGTTGGGGAGGAGCCAGATGATGCAAAGTTTTGGAGGCCACTTTAAAATTGGGGGGATTAAACATGAGCACTGAAGAAGCTTCAGCTTTTGCACTGAGTGATAAGAATGTTGCTCATCTGTCAAAAACCTTTATTGTTAACAATAACAACACACACACATGCACACACACATGCACACGCACACACACACACATACACACATGCACACACACATACACACATGCACACACATACACACACATGCATACACATACACACATGCATACACACATGCATATACACACATGCACACACACATGCACACGCATGCACACGCATGCATACACGCACACACATGCACACACATACACACATGCATACACACACGCACACATACACACAGCACACACATACACACATGCACACACACACATGCACACACACATACACATGCATACACACACATACACACATACACACACACAAATAGGGCAGCTGCTCAGATGTGTCTACAGACTGATTGCCAGGTCTTTGCTTCTTCAAGAGAAGTGATTGTTTAAGACCAGGCTCTTCAAACTGGGGTACATGGTCCCCTTTTGAAGTGGTGGCCCAGGGAAGTACATTAAACCACAGGCTAAGCTTGGTATATCTTCATGGGATATGTTTACTTAGTGGTAGGTAATTTGAAATATTTGGATAGTAAAACAAAGATACAAAGATACATTATGAAGTTGTAGGATGTAAATTCTGCATGCTTTTTTTTTTTTTTTTTTTTGAGACTGTCTCACTTTGTCGCCCAGGCTGGAGTGCAGTGCAATGCAATCTCGCAGTCTCGGCTCACTGCAACCTCTGCCTCCCAGGTTCAAGCTATTCTTATGTCTCAGCCTCTTGAGTGGCTGGGAGTACAGGCATGCACCACCACACCTGGCTAATTTTTTGTATTTTTAGTAGAGACAGGGTTTCACCATGTTGGTCAGGCTGGTCTCGAACTCCTGACCTCAGGTGATCCACCCACCTTGGCCTCCCAAATTGCCTGGATTACAGGCGTGAGCCGCTGCGCCCGGCCTCTGCATGCATTTTTAAGCTCAACGTTAGGCTTTAGGTAATATTTGAGTTTGGAGGTAGGTGAGAGGGAGGCTGGGGTGAGTGTATAGAATACGCAGGACCCTTTCTGGCACATATCTGGGGGCCTGGTTTCATTTTTCTCTGCCACTTGGGGTACGTTAGGGGAAAACAAAAACCACTGGCTCCCATGGGCAGAGCTGCAGATGACTGAGCTTCAGGGATGGGCACTAACACCACTCTTTTATAAGACACTACAATACCATAGCTCCAGGTTAGGCGGCGAGGTCCCTCCTCCTTTCACCACATAATAAGATCCTCAGGGACTTTGGGGAGGTAATAATGGCCCTTGGATCTATCCAAGACAGAAGCATCTGCATTCGGTGAAAACTGTGCTTCAGCTAGTTCTCTTACAGTGAGGTAGGTGCTAGAGCCTGCCCAGTGTCAAACACATGCCATCTGCACTTCTGGCGATGACCCAAGTGAAGGGTGGGGATGGGGCCTGGGTACCTCCTCCACATCCTGCCTGTCACTAGCTTCTGTGCAGTAAAGGTTATGTTTGTTTGAGGTCATTGCCTTTTCTTTTCTTTCTCTCCCTTTTCTTTTTTATAAATCTCTGTTCTTGGCATCCTTCCCTCCCTTACCCGTACACTTTCTGTTCTCTGCATTTCTTCTGGACAATGGGTGCTAAGCTTTTAATTGTTGTGCTTTTTCTCCGAGTGGCCACTCAAATCAGGAGGGACGTGTCTACTTGGTTATTCAATGAGGTTTTGTCCCTGAGGGCTATAAGGAGGTGAAAGGATTTGGAATTCTTTTTCTTTTTTTTATGAAGAACTTTCTCTGTTCTTCAATGGGTAGTTCTTCAATGATCAAGCCCTGGGGGCGATTAACCTCTTGATATCTGTGAGTGTTTGAAACTTCCCGCATGTGCCTCAGCAATGGCCTCCCCTGGTGTGTGTTTTGAAATTCTGCAGGGTGGCCTCTCTCCTACAAAGTGGGACCTGTTCTATATGGACCTGAGAGAGGAAGGAAATGTCAGACAGGTGGAGTTATGAGAATTACCCAGAGGAAACAGTCAAAATGTCACTCTATAACTAATTCACGTGTAATTGAAATGTAATAATGTACAGTGAGCCATTTTGCATTTATGTACCATCTTTCATCTGACCATGGAAAATATTAATCTTTTCAGGTCCCTGGTCTGGTTTATGCTAACAGTCCTGCCTATGATTTGTTTTGTTTTGTTTTTCCTAGTCCCTAAGGCAAAGAAAGAGTAACTTACTTATTCAAGTTTGTACAATAGCTCCTCAGATTTGAGAGAAGTTGGTGTTGGTGTTATTTTCAGGTCCTTGGAACAGGAGAAAGGGTTGGAAAACAAAGATCACTTTTCTCTGGCCAAATGGAATCACCCAACAAAGTACCTTCCTGATGGGCCAGCTATTTCAGGTGAGCACATCGATTCAGTTCAACAATATGAGGACAAAACAAAAAAACACCAATGTGACCTGTGCTTTTCACGTGTTTCTGGTGAGAGGCGAGGGTGTGGTATGGCCTTTTGCCCCCTGGATCTCTGACTGTCAGCTTAGGAATTTTTCTGGTTAATTTTGTGAATGCTGCTGGACACTTGCAGGACCTATTTCAGGGGTCTAAGGCAGGTCTTTGAAGGTAATGGTGTCAGAGTTTGGGGATAACATGAAAATGCCAGCAACATTCAGGAAGACGGGTCGGGGTGTATTCCATTTGGCGATCTGTGTTCTTCCCAATCCCAATTCAACTTTGTCCATGGAATAAATGAAATGCTTCTGGAAGCTAAATTTCTATCACTTATGGATCTCAGTTGATAAGGCTGATGGAGATCACTTGATCTCTCTATGAATGCCTATTTATTTATAATTTACATCTAATCTATTTCCACAAGAGATGTTAGGGATCTTATAACAAATGTTTTAAGTGAAAACCAAAGATCAAAAACAACGGAAAAAGAGAGGGGAAAATGTACTTCAAGTGGTAACGAATATAGCCACTATGATTGAGTAGGAGCTTTAACCCTAAACCTACAGCAAAAGACTCATATGGAGGGAAGGCAAACCCACCAAGTTACGTCATGCATTTTGTCTGGTAGAAAGAAAGAGATGAGAAAACTTGTCTAGCACTGTATTGATTTCTGAAATAAATTTATATTAAAGACCTAAATACAAAGCACATGGAAAAAAACACAATGTATTTTTCACAGCATTTTTGCAACAGATGTCACCGTGTGTGTGTGTGTGTGTGTGTGTGTAGGATGTGGGTGGGGGGTAATTGTGACATTTCATCAGTCTCAGGAATTCTCTTCTATCCTCCCTCTGCCTTTGAGGATGAGGGGGTTTAGGGTGGGTAGGAGAACCATTGTTCTCCTACATGGTGTTAACCGTGTTAACCTTGGTTAACACCCAGCATCCAGGCAGCAGGTCCTGGTGGACAGTCCCCTGCAGCTCTTCCTTCTGGTCTCACTTGGTCCAAGACAAAATCCTAGAAGAAGTGGAGGCAGCAAAGCTTAGGCCATATGGCAGCTCCTTGGGTAGGGGATATCAAGGAACTGGGACAACCCCACTGAAACTGCACACAATAAGGAGAGAGAAGTCCCCTAAAAGAAATTGGAATGCTGTTACCAAAAGAAGGACTTAGTTCCAGCAGGGTACTCTAACTCCAGCCCAAGATGGTTTTGCTTAAAGAAATTCTGTGATTCAAAAGTAAAGCTGCTTTTCACAGTATTCTATTATCTGAGCTATCCTAGTGATATTTTCATGCTTAACTGACCTGATGATTGTCCAGTAATCAACCTGAGAGCCTGCAGGATATGCACGTTTTGTCATCAGGGAAGGGGCCACTGGGCTGCTTTGTTCCTGGGCCTGCTGTGACAAATGACCACAAACGAGGTGGCTTAAAATAGCAGACCTGCAGCTGGGGGCGGTGGCTCATGTCTGTAATCCCAGCACTTTGGGAGGCTGAGGCGGGCGGATCAAGAGGTCAAGAGATCGAGACCATTTGGCCAACACGGTGAAACCCCATCTCTACTAAAAATACAAAAATTAGCTGGGTGTGGTGGTGCACGCCTGTAGTCGCAGCTACTTGGGAGGTTGAGGCAGGAGAATTGCTTGAACCAAGGAGTCAGAGGTTGCATTGTGCTGAGGTCATGCCACTGCACTCCAGCCTGGTGACACAGCGAAACTCCATCTCAAAAAACAAACAAACAAACAAACAAACAACAACAACAAAAATACACAGCAGACGTGCACTCTTACGGTTCTGGAGGCCAGAAACCCACGTGTCCACAGCCCATACTCCCTCAGAAGGCTCAAGGGAAGAATCCTTCCCTCCCTCTTCCTAGCTGCCCCTGGAAGCCAGCAATCCTTGGCTTGCCCCTGCACCTTTCCAGTTTCTGTCTCCCTTGTCAACACGGCTTCTTCCTTGTGTGTCTGTGACTTCACACAGCACTTCCTTCTCTGTGTGTTTTTCTTCTTTCTTAAGGACATTAGATTCCGGGCCCACTTCAATCCAGTATGACTTCATCTTAAAGTATATTTTAATTACATTTGAAAATACCCTATTTCCAAATAAGTTCACATTGTAAGATTTTGGATCAACATGCTTGTTGAACGATGCTATTCAACTGCATACAGGCAGAGAATGGAGCTTGCTCTTCTAGTGGTTGAGGAAGTCAGGTTTAGATGTATAAAAAAAATAGGTTTGATCTGAAATCCATCAAGAAGGAATGTTTCTTCACTGAAAATTAACAGGGACTTCTTTTGGTCTGACTCAAAAAATTTTAAATGTGCTTGGATTTTAAAATCGGAAAAAAAAGGATATTATAAGATTCTTAGAGGCCGGGTGCGATGGCTCATGCCTGTAATCCCAGCCCTTTGGGAGGCTGAGGCGGGTGGAGCATTTGAGGTCAGGAGTTCAAGACCGGCCTGATCAACATGGTGAAACCCCGTCTCTACTAAAAATACAAAAATTAGCTGGGTGGGGTGGCACACGCCTGGAATCCAGCTACTTGGGAGGCTGAGGCAGGAGAATTGTTTGAACCCAGGAGACGGAGGTTGCAGTGAGCCAAGATCATGCCATTGCATTCCAGCCTGGGTGACAAGGGAAGACTCTGTCTCAAAAACAAACAAACAAACAAACAATTCTTAGACTAGTCCCCAAGTCACCAAGACTTAGTTTTTAGGGAGTCCAACATGGAGTCAGTTTAAGTTGCTTTCTCATGAGAGAAGAAACAATGTTTCTCTTTGGACGAGTTAATGGGTTGGAGCAGGATTGTAACTAGACCTTAAGTGCCCGCATTTGTCTTAGTTGGTGTGCTGTCCCCTTGGCTTCAGGCCTATCTTTTGTTTTTCTTCTGCTCCTTCTCACCTTCCTTTGCTCAAATTTAGAGCTGACCATCCCTTGAGTTACTTTAAGAGAAGAAGGGAAGGGGTCTGGTCTCTGTGATTCAGAAAAAGAACAGAAGTTCAGAAACAAGGTGTGTGTGTCCCTCTCAGCTTTTCCTCTTACTCTAGGCTAAGTCACGGAGATGTGGTTCCCATGGCAACCCCGAGGCATGACCATGGAGATTTCGCTGGGTGTCAACTCAGCTCTTTTTTCCACTCTCATGTAACACAGCAGTCATATGGAGAAATGCAATGTGGCTTTTTATTTTTCTTGATGCAGGTCTGGCCTGTGGGATTAGGGCATGGGGTTTTGAGCAGTGAGGCTGGGATGGTGGACAAGGGCCAGATGGTCAGCATCAGTGAAGGCCATGCTAAAGGTGGGCTTTACCTAGGAGGCCTCTTTTTCTCAAACTGTGGTGTCAGACCACCTACATCCGAATCCCTTGTGGATACGTGTTGAAAATGTCGATTTCTGGGCCCCACCCCAGACCTCCTAAACCGGAATTCAGGGAGTGGCTCATACATTTGCACTTTTTGCAAGCACCCCAGGAAATTCCTGTGGCAACTAACATTTGAGAACTACTACTACAGGCAACGTGAGCGTGGCAGGTGGTAGCAGGGTTGTGTCTTAGCAAGAATGTTTGATATTGGAGGAGGCAAAAAAAGCTAGGAGGCCGTTTAATAACCCAGCATTTTAACAAAACACTGAATATTATGCTTACTCTGTGCCAAGCACTATTTTATTTGCTTTAGAAATATTAACTTATTTAATTCCCATATGTACCCAGGAATAAGTTCTGTTATTATCTCCACCCTCTGGAGGAGGGAATTGAAGCACAGACGCTTGCTAAGATGAAAGGGGTAGTGACCTACTGGAGGAGGGACTTGAGGAAGGGGACACCAAGTGTAACCAGGAGGGTGATGGAACCATGAGCCAGAACCTGACAGCGGAAGGCGTCCTGGTGCTTCTGTACCTGAGTTACCAGTATCTTCCCCTGTCTGTTGTGAGCTTTTTCAAGGTAGGGATGCAGGAATCCATCACTCATAGCTTCCAAAATGCAGCACATGGCAGACTGCACAAGCATCAGACTCAAAACTGGGGGGGGTGGGTCAAGGTCCTAGAATCAGCTCTGTCAGTAATTTGCTGTGTGGTAAGTTCCTATCACTTTCTCCATCAGTAAAGTGAGGCTGTTGGATATGTGATGTTTCTCCCACTGTAAAATGGGCAAAAGGCCACAGGGTTGCACAACTCCAGGATGGGGGTGGATGAGCATCCACCTGGGTCTTCCAAAGATGATGTGAACAGTGGAACTTGGGCTCATACAAGATGGGGTTACGGAAGAGGAGGATGGGCCACAGGGGTACCTGCCAGAGACTGAATGAGTTAATATAGGTGAAGTGTTTAGGCTATGCCTGGGACTTGCACGTGTTGGTTATTCTTGTTGTTAGTATCTCTAGATTTCTTTCAGCTTGAACACCCAGTGTCAGAGATCCCTTGATTCCCTCCTCCCCCGAGACAGGAATGGTGGATCAGAACCTGAAGGATAAAAATAGTCAATAGGGAGACAATTTTCTCTCTTCGGCAGTTTGTTCCTCCTACTCAGTTACCTCTACTCAATCCCTTTGGCCCTGTTTCTAGCATCTTCTTCACTGGAAATTCCTACCTCCAGGTTAAGTGAGGAAAGCACAGGCCTTGGTAGAGGCTGACACGCCCAGCACCGTTTCTGCTGGGCTGGCCCTGCCTCTGTGGATGGTCAAAGTCAAATGTGGACGATACATTTTCCCCATGGAGGCTGCTTTGCCTAATGTTAAACACCATGGCTGGGGTATCTATGCAGTGTTGCAAGAAGCCTGGAGAAATGGAGATGGGTGTTCTCAAGCCACCTCTGTATAATGATTTTATTTTTAAAAATCTAAAGAAAATATCTTCTGCTGTTCCTAAACAATATTAATCAGGCAAAGACACTTTGATCCATTTTTCTGAGCACACTTAAACCTGGAAATGTTGTCTTCTGAGAAATTTCAAGGAAATCAGTTTCTTATTTGGTATTCATTCAACCAATTTTTATTAAGTGTTTATTTACTACACATGGAGATATGTTAACATGTCAATGACCCTGTATACTATTTATATAGACCTGAGGTAAGACTCGTTTTGCAATCCTCTACAACACACTCACTTTGCTGCCTCAGTGAGCCTCGGTTTTCTAGTCTACCTCATAAGGATGTTCTGGGGATCAAACGTTTTATTATACATCATGGAAATCACATGTAAGTGGGAAATGTCAGTACTAGGAATGTGCTGTTAGGACAAAGCCTTAGCTCTGTAGATAATCTTACAATTCTTCCTAGTTAATGACACGTTTAGGTGACTTCTATTACGACCGGCAACAGAAGAGAGCCTGTGTTGTTGCAGTGAGAAAGCTGCCTTGGTCTGTCTTTTAGGCCACTTGCTTTGCTACTAGACTTGCCTTAAAACCCTTTGGGGAGTAGGGACCCCTCCAACTTCCCATACAATTTTCCCAAGTCAATAATCCTCCAAGGCCATTGACTTCCAAAGTTTTTCACCAACTATGAATGCTCCCCCAATCATATAAGAAAATATTCACTTCTGTATCAATGAATATTTTCTTATATGACACCATCATAAGACACCTGCTGGTCTGCAGGGAAGCATCCTTCTTCCCACTCCCTCGTGATGGACTCCTCGAAAGCTGGCATGAAAGGAAAGACCTGTGAGGGGAGATAACCTAATATAACATTTCTCAGTAGACCTATTTGATTCCTGTTGGACGTGGGCTTAAATAATTGGACCAGTCAGTGGAAGAATGGAGGGCTGAGGTAAGAATTCTTTCTTGGGCTATTTGCCAAGTCAGAGCTGAGAGGCATGAGGATGGTCAGTGTCCTTCTTGGGTTGCTCTGCTCCTGAGCCCCGTCCTTGGTTAGCCAATAAGGTCTTAAGTTTTGAAAGGCACCAGTGTGACAGGGCCCGATTCACAAGTCTCTAGGCCACTCTACGAGGTCCATAAAGATCCCCAAAGTCACTGACTGCTCTTGAGGACCTCATGATATCTTTTTCCTTGCAGACCCATCCTACTCATTCAGTAAATCCTCAGACTTCAGACTGGAGCAGAACACAGGTCAATTTCCTGGGCCACTGTAGACCTGGCCACTCCCTACATCTGCACAGCCACGCGTGGCTGCTGAGCACCAGGAATGTGGCCGTTAGCATGAGATATTGGGATGTATTGAGATGTGCCGTAAGCATGAAATAGTCACCAGCGCCTGAAGACATGGTGTGGCAATGGGAACGTAGAATAGCTCATTCACAGTTCTTAAATGCTGATTACATATTGAAATGATGATATTTTGAATATATTGAGTTAAAATATATTTTAAAATTAAGTCTACTTGTTTTTAACGTGGCTATTAGAAAATTAAAAACCACTCAAGTGCCCCATATTTCTATTGGTGAGTTTCAGTCTCGGTTCCAAGCTCACATTGGAAGAGCCTTAGAACCCAGGTGACGAGGTTTGGTCAGAAGAGACAGACTTAGGCTTTCTTACTTCAACGGGACCATTGTTCACTTGCTGTGAGCGCAGGGCCTGTGATGATATCATGGACTTAATCATGCTTCTTATTTGACTTGGTTTAAAAAAACTCTGAAATCCTATGAATTGTTTGGATTTTAGCATCTTATTTTGAAAAGAATTCTTTCTGTTATGGGCTGAACTGTGTCCACTCAAAATTCATGTATGGAAGCCTTAACCCGCAGTGCCCCAAATGTGATTGTATTCAGAGATAAGGCCTTGAAAGCAGTGAATAAGTGAAAAATGAGGCCATTTAAGTGGGCCCTCGTCCAATCTGACTGGTGTTCTTCCTTATTTATTTATTTATTTGAGACACAGTCTCACTCTGTTGCCAGGCTGGAGTGCAGTGGCACGATCTCGGCTCACTGCCACCTCTGCCTCCCAGGTTCAAGCGATTCTCCTGCCTCAGCCTCCCCAGTAGCTGGGACTACAGGTATGTCCTTCCTTATGAGAAGAGGAAATTGGGCACAAAAAGAGATACCACGAATGTCATAGGGGAGAAAGATCATGTGAGGACACAGAAGAAGGCAGCTGGCCATCGCAAGTCAGGAGACCTCAGAGGAAACCAAGCCTGTTGACACCTGAATCTTGGACTTCCAGCCTCCAGGACTGAGAGAAAATTAATTTTTGTTGTTTAAGTCATCCAGTCTGTGGCTTTTTGTTATGGCAATGCTAACAAACTAATACACTAGCCTATTTCATGGTAGAACTGGAGAAAGCCTGGTGACAAGAGAACAATTTCTCCACGGCCAGAAATCTGGCTTCCTGGGTCCATCTGTCGGGACCTGAAAGAGAGCTATGAACTTTTTATCACGTTGCCTCTGCCTCAGATCAGTGTCTGTTTTCCAGTCCCATGTCCATATTGTATGCTCCTCTGTCTCCTCTTCTAGTAACAGTCTTTTTTTTCTCTGACAGATGATGAAGGTTTAAGAAGCAGCATCATCAGCGAACTGTGTTTTGAAGATTTGAGGGAAGGGCTGACCTCAGGATTTTATACTAGGTTTGTGTAAACACACAGGATTCTTTTTCTCTCTGTCCCAAATTTAATCATCGCACTCATTCAAATGAAATATGAAGTCATAAGTATTAAAATATGCATGAGATTTTGAACATGTGTATTGAGAGAAAGCATTTTGTTTTCTAGAAAACTCATTTCTGCTGGACAGTGGGGGTCACCAATACGTTGGAAGGGAGAGTGCTAAGCTAAATGTCCTCTAGGGTCTTTTTCTAGTTATAAGATGACCAAATCTATAATTCCTGGTTCAGAGTTTCACTCACCATCCATGGGAGCTATCTCAGGGATGGAGAAAGAGAATTCAGATCAGGTGAATCCCTGAGTGGTGAGCCTCAGCCACGGCTTCATCTTGACAGACATTTGCCCTCTAGAAACAGACTTAAGGTCAATCCCTTTGCCAAGAAGTCAAGAAACTGCCTTCTCAACGAGGCCAGTAAAATCGGCATAAAAGACCTCCAGAGACATCAAGTCTCCCTAGAGAGACTTTCTAAACTTTCTGAACATGTTGTCTATGTGCTGGCCTGAACCCAGAATGTACTGAAGGGAGAAAAAATACAAAAGACGATGATAGACCCAAGGATTATCTTCCTGGCATTCCCTAGAACAGCTGTCTGGCAAATGTTACACCACGTCTGAGATTATTTTAGAAACTTTGTCTTGAAGAAGAACAAGGAGAGAGAATACCAGACAGATTTGCCCTCATTTTTTGTCACAGAATAAGAATTTCAAGGACATTTTTACTTTCAGTGAGATCATCCTGGCAATGCTCTTTTCATTTTTTGAAACTTAAATCGTGTCACATCTAATAAATTTATAGCTGTGTGTGGTTACAGCAATGAGTTGGTACCAATGGCTATTTAGGTCTTCTCCTCCCTCTTCTTGTTTCTTTTCCTCATCATCATGAGAATTAGACTATTCCAAAGATGTTTGAAACAAGAAAATTTCACCAAGTTTCACTAGAAACCTGTCCTAAATGAAATGCCTATCTAGTGGTAAAATGACAAATGAAATTTGCTTTCCTAAATTTCTTTTTAGGCCTCATTTTCTGCCCACATGTCATATTTTCTGTGTTCAATGAAACAGATCATGCCAGAAATAGAGAAAACAAAATTACAGCAAGACAATGATCACAGTACAGTATCATAAAACTGAGTATAGGCCTGGGGTCTCTATCTGTGGGAATGAATGAGAGCTTGGCTTAGCATGACCCCCTCACCATGTTCTTGTTCATATCAGAATTCCAAGTGAAGGGGCCGCTTGTGAACATGCATCACTAATGTTAATGTAGCCTCTGAACTATGGATGCTTGTCTCACAGCCATCACCGGAAAATGCCACCTTAGTCATTCTATGTTTCTGTGTGTGCATATGTCTGTGTTGTGTGTGTGTGTGTGTGTGTGTGTGTGTGATAGAGTGAAACCCTCTGTGGAATGAGGTTTCCTTTTCAAGAGGTAGCTCTGGCCTGAGGAGCTGAGAAGAGTGTTCCATACTTGTCACGGATGAGGTAGTGTGGGGTTGCAGGGTGAGATGTGATGGGAGAAGGAACTATGGGATAGGGAAAGAATGTATCCAAAGGCCTGAGTTCTAAATTGGATTCGATTTTCTTTTTCCTAGTGAATCAATGTGAAAATGTTGGTTAGAGTCCCAGGCTAGCCCATAGACGCTTGTTGATGCATGATGTAGGGGATATACTATGCATTTTTTTCTATTATTGTTTTCATTTTGTGTATGTGGAAGGCTGTGTGTGTGTATGTGTGTGTGCACGCGCATGCATGCATGCGCATCCATGCTTGGTTACATTAGCTTGTGTATGTATTGGTTACATTATACACTAATTATGGGGAGCTTCTGTGGCTAATTGGGAAATCTAATCATAATTTGTAACATTATTTCCAATCTCTAAATGATACTTTAAAAAAGAACTTTTGGGGACAGACGCGGTGGCTTACATATAATCCAGCACTTTGGGAGGCCGAGGTGGGCAGATCACGAGGTCAGGAGATCGAGACCATCCTGGCTAACACAGTGAAACCCTGTCTCTACTAAAAATACAAAAAATTAGCTAGGTGTGGTGGCACACACCTGTGGTCCCAGTTACTCAGGAGGCTGATGCAGGAGAATCGCTTGAACCCGGGAGGCGGAGGTTGCAGTGAGCTGAGATTGTGCCACTGCACTCCAGCCTGGGCGACAGAGTGAGACTCCGTGTCAAAAAACAAAAAAAGAGAAAAGAAAAAAGAACTTTTGGAACATAGTGAGATTGTGAGTTGGAGACAGCCTGTTCTACTTGGAGAGGATGGAGGGTCATTGCAGCTTCCTGTGGAATGCTGCGGAAACGCTCCAAGCATCCCTAGGACATGGCATTTCTTTGAGAAAGGAGAGTTGAAATACAGATCCAAGTTAGGCACAGCACACAGAGAGAACTTGACGTCTGCAGACTTTACTCGTCTTTCACAAAGGAAATGGGGATGTGCTAACTGCCTGTCTCATCCAATTCACAATTTTCATTTTCTTTCTTGTCTGCCTTTCCCAGTTTATATTAAGTTTAATTATAGGCTCACTAGGTGTTATAGTTTTCCTAAGGTTTGTAAGAAAAACACACTTTCTGATCTCCCCAGGTGCATGAAGACAATGAAGAAGGGAGGGAAGGAGAGAGGGAGTGAGGGAGGGCAAGCCAGCTATTGGTAGACAGAAGAGTCATACACTGTAAAACATTTCATTGGAAATTCATAATTTAGCAGAAAAGCAGTAGACAGCAAGAAGAATATAACAGGAAGGTATATTGCTCTGTGTGGTGGTAAGCTGGTGCTGATTTTGTTTATCTTACATGCTGGGTGATAGCACATTCATTTCTGGTTGTTCTCCCTTTTAAGGAAACCAGCATTGACATTACAGATTTAGATTTTGTAGTTTTTTTTAAACACATTTATTAAAAGGTCCTTATGGATGGAAGCTATTTCAGAACTCTTCAGTGTTTTGTTTTTCAGAAAATTTTTTTCATTGAATGAGTCAGATGTAAAGGTAAAATGAAAGAGCTGCTGTTAACTAAAGGTTGACTGTAAACGACAATGAAGTCTCATAAATTTAAGCTACTGGGGATGTAGGACTGATTTGCACACATTCATTGCAAACAGGGCTTTCTAGAAGCACACCAAGCTGTCTCAACTGACAGCTTGTCCTTGGTTACTACCCTGTCCTTGAGGAAGGCAGCCTATTTCCTGGAAGAAGTGACAAAAATATATTTAATATCCCCCGCTTTCACTCGCGTCTGGGAATTTTCTTTAAGTTGTTTATTTTGAAATAATTACATGCTTACAGGAGAGCTGCAGAAATAGACAAAGAACTTTTTAACCTGAACCTAAACACTTGAGTGTGTAATTCCTACAAACAAGGACATTCTCCTACATAATTATAGTGCAATCATCAAAATAAAGAAATTCACATCAAAACATTTCTGCCATCTAATCCTCAGATGCCATTTAAGTTTTGACAATTATTCAAATAATATTTGTTCTAGCAAAAGGACCCAATCCTGGAACACCTGTTGCATGTAATTGTCATGTCTCTTTAGCTTCCTTCAGTCAGAAGAGTTCCTCGATCTTTCCTTGACTTTCATAACTGACACTTTTGATTGGATGTGCTGATTATTTCGTAGAATGTCTCTCAGTTTGGTTTTGTCGAATGTTTTCTCCTGATTAGATTGAGAGGTGTATTTTTGACAAGATATTTACATCTGATCAGGTGGTGCATGATTTCTACTTGACCCATTATTGGTGATGTTCACTGTAGGTTTTTTTTGGTTTTGCTTTTTTTTTTTTTTTTTTTGAGACTGGGTCCACTCTGTCACCTAGGCTAGAGTGCAGTGCCATGATCTCGGCTCCCTACAGCCTCGACCTCCCAGGCTCAGGTGATCCTCCTACCTCAGCCTCCCAAGTAGCTGGGGCTACAGGTACACGCCACCACACCTAGGTAACTTTTTGTATTTCTGTAGAGATGGGGCTTTGCCATATCACCCAGGCTGGTCTCAAACTCCTGGGCTCAAGTGCCCCACAAGTCTTGGCCTCCCAAAGTGCTGAAATTGCAGGCATGAGCCACCGCGCCCAGCCAATGTTCACTTTGATTATTCAGTTGAGGTGGTATTTGTCAGGACTATTCATTGTAAAATTACTCTTTTTCCCTTTGTCGTTAATAAGAATTTGGCTGGAGGTACTCTGAAAGTATGAAATTTCCCCATTTCTTAGTAAACATTCACCCACTAGTTCTAACATCTACTGATGTTTCTTGGCTGAATATCACTATGATGATTGCTAAATGGTGATTCTAATTCCATTATGTCTACTTTTACCAGTTGTCATTTTACTATAAAGACAGCTTTCTCTTCTTTCTGTGTATTTGTTTGTATCAGTGTGGATTTACAGATTTCTATTTTACTCAAAAGTTACAACTATTATCATTATTACTTATTTTGATAAATAAATTGTCCCAGGTTTGACCAGCAGGCGCCCTTTCAAGCCAGTTTCTATGTCTTTGTAACATGCTCTCACCATTCGTTGAGAGGCTGTGAGTCTTTGGAGTGGTAGTTCTGCCAAGCTCAACGAAAAGAGATCTCAGAGTCTAAAGACCTGGGTTGTGGTCTTCTTGGCTTCTTCCATTCCTAGTTGGGTATCACTGGGGGAGTGGTCCTTCTGTTCTAAGGTTTAAAATGGGGATAATCAGTCGCTACTGCCATCTAAAGTGGTTGCTGTGAAATTCATCCCAAAGGGAGAGATTTTAAGATAGCCAACTTCCCTTCCTAGAATCTTTCCAGAATTATTCTGTGCACTGATATTGCATGATGGCCCAATCAGCTGATGAGGTGCCGCTTGAAACATCTGTCTGCCTGTATTGTTTGTGGCCTGTGAGAGTTATTTGTTTCAATCAAATAAACATATGCTTAGCTTAAACGGCTTTTCCCTCTCATAGGTATTTGATGCAATGCAGACTGGAATCCTCCCCACAAGGATGCCCTGGCCTGAGTGGCACAGAGATCAATGCAGCAGTCATTTCCTGGGCGGGGAAAGCCCATCCACAGTGGCCCTGGAATGATGCTGGTCTTACCTTCTATTCCTAGGAAGGCCCTATCTCAAGTGGCTCTGGTCCATGCAAACAGATGGAAACGGGTGTGGGGAAGCACAGGCCTCCTACTCATGTTAAGAGAGCTGCTCAGAGGCAGGAATCCAGAACCAGGAATGTCCCCAGTGGCTGCCCAAGGTACAAGTGGCAGGCAGCGGGGAGAATGGCATGTGAAGTCATTTGTAACCTGGCCCCAGCTTGGTTTCCAAGTCTCAGAGGAGATTATGGATATGGTAGTGCCTGGCTCAGTGCTTAAAATCCATTCTCCTGCTATTTCCCTCACCTACACTCAGCCCCACAAGCCGAGATGTTTGCTGGACATTTCAGGCACTGCCACCCAGTTCTGTCTACCTTACCTGCTAACACCTGTTGACCATCCTTCATGTGAAGGCTTCCCCAAATACTTCCCAATCAAAACACTAAAAGGCAGACCTGAAATTAATAAAAATGTTAATTAAATCTGTACAACAGAAAGCATAATGCCAGTCTTTTTAATTATGAAATGTAGCATTCATATAAATTTCATTGCTTTTGAAAACAATCTATGGCTAGATTCTCCTGGGTTTGTATGATGATTACTGAAAACTGTAGAAAATCTAAAATCAAGCAAGTTGTTTATAGGCAATTACTTTCAGAAGCAAAAATTATAAAAGAACCATGAGATTTTTAAAGAGAAAAAATTACATTTGATATGAGATAATCATGCATTTTAAGATGTTTAAAATGACATGGAGTGGGGTCCCCAGACCAGGAGAGCTGAGGGCTTATGAAGGACCTAAGGGAGTGAGACCTGTTATGTAATAAGCCCCCATTCTGGGGGCAGCACCACAGAGGCGGGACCCCAGAAGTAGAAGAAGAGCCCTCCTGCACTGGGTGGTGAAGTTGGTATCAGCCCCTAGTTTGTGACCCTGGACAGATTTCTCTGCTCTCCAGCCCTCAGAGTCCTCAATAAAACAAAAACATATGCAAATATACAAAATTCCTTGCTCTCTTGTACCTCTGAAAACTCTCCCTGAAGAAGTTGAACTACCTGCTCTCTCTCTGTCCTGAAGACTCTAAAATTCTATATGTCGTCCCCTGAGCTTTGACTCCAGGAGCTGTTTATTTTGAGACTCACTTTCTGCATAGTCCATAATCACGGATTCAGCCTCTCTCACTGCTGCTGTCTCCCCTGGAGAGGAAGTGGAGCAGTCAGGTTTTGTGAGCTGGCATTCTCCCTCCCTTTGAACGTAATTGCGGCCCTGCCCTGGGGACTGGATAGAGAGAAAGGTAGGCTTTTTCCCCAGTCCATTAGTATACTGGTTTGTAGCTCTTGCCTTTAGGAAGTATATCAAAGAGAGGAAGAAATGAAGAAAAGTTATTTTGCAAAAGTGAAATTATTAGTTTTATATGGTCGCTGTAACAAATTACCACAAATTGAGTGGCTTAAAACAGCAGAATTTATTCTCTCACAGGTCTGGAGACCAGAAGTCTAAAATCAAGGTGTTAGCAAGGCTGCAGGCTCTCTCTCTCTCTCTTTTTTTTTTTTTTTGAGACAGAGTTTCACTCTTGTTGCCCAGGCTGCAGTGCAATGGCACGATCTCGGCTCACTGCAACCTCAGCCTCCCGGGTTCAAGTGATTCTCCTGCCTCAGCCTCCCAAGCAGCTGGGATTACAGGCTTCCACCACCACGCCTGGCTAATTTTTGTATTTTTAGTAGAGACGGGGTTTCTCCATGTTGGTTAGGCTGGTCTCAAACTCCCAACCTCAGGTGATCCGCCTGCCTGTGCCTCCCACAGTGTTGGGATTACAGGCGTGAGCCACGGCGCCCGGCCTGCAGGCTGTCTTCAAAGGCTCTAGGGAAGAAGCCTCCTTGAGTCTGTAAGCTCCTGGTGGTCCTAGGGGTTCTTCGGTTTGTAGCTGCATCACTTCCATCTCCTCTGTCTTCTCTTCATCTCTAGAAGGACACCTGTCCTTGGATCTAGGGCACATCCTGGTAATACAAGATGATTTCATATGGAGAATCTTAATGATACCTGCAAGGTTCTTTTTCCAAATTAAGTCACATTCGTGATTTGGGGGGTTAAGATGTGGACATCTCTTTTCGGGGGCATCATTCAACCTGCTACAGAGGGCATGACTGATGGGCTACTGGCTCTTAGCGGAGCTCTACAGTTCCTTGGGTCGTAGTGGACGAGGAGGTGTATTAGTCAGGGTTCTCTAAAGGGACAGGACTAGTAGGATGGATGTATAGATGAAGGCGAATTGACTCACATAGTCACAAGATGAAGTCCCATGATAGGCCCTCTGCCAGCTGAGGAGCAAGAAAGCCAGTCTGAATCCCAAAACCTCAGAAGTCGGGAAGCCGACAGTGTAGTCTTCAGTCTGTGGCTGAAGGCCAGAGAGAGAGAGAGCCACTGGTGTAAGTTCAAGTGTCCAAAAGCCGAAGAACTTGGAGTCTGATGTTCAAGGGCAGGGAGCACCCAGCACAAGAGAAAGATGAAGGCCAGAAGACTCAGCAAGTCAGCTTCTCCTACCTTCTTCTGCCTGCTTTATTCTAGCCGTGCTGGCAGCTGATGAGATGGTGCCCAGCCACTTTGAGGGTTGGTCTGCCTCCCCCAGTTCACTGACTCAAATGTTAATCTCTTTTGGCAACGCCCTCACAGACACATCCAGGAACAATACTTTGCATCCTTCAACCCAATCAAATTGACACTTAGCACTAACCATGACAGGAGAGTGCTGTTAACAGCGTCAGGAGTGGGGAGGATGGAAAGAGGAGGGTGCACGTAGTTCCTTCAGACGCTGGCTGGTGCTGCAATCCGTCTCTCTTCCTTCCCAAAGGAGGATGGTAGTATATCAGGAAGTTAGGCTT